>NC_000001.11:54705350-54856865 GCF_000001405.40 Homo sapiens
CTGTCCAGGGTGCTGAGACTCTTAGCTGAGTGAAATGGCCCCTTCTCTTGGGGGAGCCCGAGATACAGTGGGGGGACATCAGTATAAATAATTACAACACAGTGTCATAGGTGTCATGACAAAGGATGAGCAAGATCTGCTAGAAACATCAAGGGTGGTGGGATGGAGCTCTGCCTAAGGGCTGTGGAAGGCTTCAGGAAGGAGGTGGCATCTGAGCTGAGGCTTAAAGGATGAGAGGGAATTTATGAGGTGAAGAAGAGTGGGAAGGGCACTCCAAATAGGAGCAATTTCTTGTAGAAGGTGCAGATCTGGGGATAGCTGGTCATGTCCTCGGAGTGCAGCATGGTGGGCATGACAGGTGGAGTCAGTGGAAGGAGCTGAGACTTCGAAGGAAGGTCAGACCCAGAACATGATCATGAAGCTTTGCATGCCAGGCCTAGGAGCTTAGGCCTTGATACACATAGGTCGTCAACAGGAGAGTGATCAGATCAGATTTCTCATCTTCTCCCTCAACAGCTCCTTAGCTGGACAAGCTCCTTAGCTGGACAACTGTCTCCCACTTTCTACCTGTCAAAGCCATCGTGACTACCTCTGTCAGACTATTTTACCCAAAACGTGGCTTTCTCACTGTCCTATTAAGAGTAAATCAATGTTGCCTTCTTCTTTCCTAATGTACGAGTAAGCCCTATTTCTGTCTGGCTTTTAAGACCCCCTGACTCTCCAGTTTATCCCCATTGCTCTATACCTTGAATCCTTCACCCTGGTCAAACTGTCTCCTTACCTATGTCCCTCACATGCCATGTCCATTCCCATCACTGGCTGGATCTGCATTTTAGAACTTTCCCTCTGACTGCAGCAGGGGGGTAAATTGGAAGAGGAGACACCCAAGGCAGGAACATCATCGAAGTGATTGTTGTAATCAGCTAAGAGGAGATAAGCCCTGGCCTGTGGGGGACTCATGCAGAGGGAGCAGATATATTTGGGAGGCAGGGGGTGAGGGTCACCATTCCTAGCTTCAAGAAGGGTGGATGGGCAATTGGTTCCTCTGAGAGGCCAGCACTTTTGGGGTTTCTCTTTGTCCTAGGTGAACACCCACCGAGACAGCGCCTTCATATTCCTCAGCCAGAGCCTGGAGTATGCCAAGAACTCACGGGCCTCCCTCCGGAAGTGCTCAGTCATGTTCATAGGTAACCTGCCCTGGCATAAGTCATCCTGCTGCCAGGGCTCTGCCTGCTCTCCAGTTTGTTTCCTCCCAGGCTGCTAGCCCTTTCAGCACCTGGGGGGATGCTTCCCTTTGGGTGCAAGGCTTGGCCACCAGACAGCCATGGTGAAAGTTAGAATGGTTTTCCCCACTCTAAGATCATGGCTTAGGAAGTGAGCTACAGGCTGGATTCAGTCTGAAGTCTTTGTGCAGGTCACAACCTTGGCAACTGTATATGGCAGAACTGCTGCTTTTCTCTGGAGTACAGCATGGGTACAAGCCTAGCAGGAGCCTGGGCAAATCCCCCATTGACAGCAGCAGGAGGGGCCAAGCAGCATGGTGAAAAGAGTCAAGTAGAATCTCAGTTCCATGGTTCCCTTCCTGTGTCACCCTAACTGGATTATTTACTCCCACTGAGCCTCAGTTTCCTCATCTGTAAGATAGGGATCACCTCCTGTTTCACAGACTGAATGAGAATATTTTTTAAAAGGGGAGGGATGGCACATACAGGTGCTCAATGTTAGCAGTCTTCATTCTTCCATTTCCCATAATCCCAAACTTTCTTTTTGGAAAAAACAAACAAACAAACAAACAAAAAACACCAAAAACAAACAGCACATTCCCCTTGACCAGAGCCCCCGACAGGACCCTTCTGATGGCAAGTGGGTGTGTCTCCTCCCAGTTACTCACCCCTCCCTCCAAATAACCACATGCCCTTCACCAAGGGCCAGGAGACCTTGTTGCAAAGAGGCTTGGAAATGATGCCATTTGTGAAGTGATATTTTTTAGTACCTTTCCCAAGTTAATTTGCTGTTTTCTTCCGTCCGATCATTCATCCACCCATCTGCTGGTTTATTTAGCAAACGTTGATTCCGTACTCTGTGAGAGGTGTGATGCTTAGGCTAGAACAACAAAGAGCCCTTCAGGAGGTGATGCTGATGAAGGTGTGGCGATAGGGGGTGGCTGTTAACATGATCAATGCTGGTGCAGAAGAAAAATGCTCAGGACTGGAGGAATCCCTTAGAATGTGGGGGCTGCTCAGAGACATCTACTTCCTACGTGCTGATTTCTTTAAATCTTGCTCTAAATTAATCACTTCTAAAATGGAGTGTCTAACACCCTGGGAATCATCTGTATGTCAGGGCCTGTGCTGGGGAAACATAGTGAGTAGAGCCTTGATCTGCCCATAGATAGCTCCCAGAGCAGTGCAATGATTATTAACCTTTTTTGGGTTATGGCTTTTTTGTGATACTCTGAAGAAAATTATGAATACTTTCCTGAAAAAAATGCATATATGTATACAATTTTGCATCCTCAGATGGATCCTCAGATCCTTGCCCTCCCACTGTCACCCCTCAGTGGATCTAAGATTAAGTAACTTCTGGTCTGGTGGGAGATAAAATTCATAAATCACAAGTAAAATACAATGTGGTATAAACAGATAGAGAAAAGCTCGCAGATACTCAAGAAACCAAGAGAAGGATCTAACTTATCCGGAGCAAGGTGAGGAAGGACTTCCTGGAGGAACCACTTGTTAAATTGAATATTCAAGGACAAATAGGAATTGCCAGGGAAAGAAGTGAGGCGCCAGGCAGGGTGGCTTACTCCTGTGATCCCAATCCTTTGGGGAGTCAAGGTGAGAGGATCATTTAAGGGCAGGAATTTGAGAGTAGCCTAAGCAATATAGCAAGACCCCATCTCTACAAAAAACAGATACTTAAAAAAGTTAGCTGGACATAGTGGCAAATGCTTATAGTCCTAGCTACTCAGGAGGCTGAGGCAGGAGGACTGCTTGAGCCCAGGAGTTTGAGGCTGCAGTGTGCTATGATCATGCCACTGCACTCCAGTCTGGGCAACACTGTCTAAAAACAAACAAACAAACAAACAAACAATAGTGAGGGAAGGAGCTTCTGAGAGGTACAGCCCATTTAAGGACCTGCAAATACTGCAGGAGCCAGGCTCACAGGCTGGCAGCAAGGGAGGGATGAGCAATGCATCAGAGGAGTCATCAGAAACATATCCTTGACCCAGCATAGTTGAGTCTCAGCCCTCTAGGGCCCTGCTATAGCCTTGCCTGACAGGTATGCAAGGTGCTCAGTGTCTTACATTACTGCTCAAACTCCCCATAGAAGTGGACAGCAGAGACAGCACTTCCTTGTGTCACAGATGAGGAAACTGAGCCCCAGCCTGGGTACTGGGCTAGCCTCAGGCTGCACTGTCAGGGTCAGCTGCAGCCCAGATACTGCCCCTATCCTGGTGCCATCCTGCCCACTGGACCAGTCATCCTTCCCAGGACCCCTCTTGGGGAATCTGTCCCAGGGTCCAAATGAAGTTTTGTGTTCTCATGTGTGGGGCTGGAGGATAATGGGAAAAGCATCTCTGAGGAACTCTGGTCTAAGGGTGGGTTGGGGTGGGGTCGACGTCGGAAGACAAATGCCCTCACTTCTTGGATTACGCTCAAGGGTCCCTGGTCCCCTGCATGGAGAGCATAATGACAGAAGATCGTCTGAATGAAGTGAAAGCTGGTAAGTCATGCCCCGCATTGGTGAAATTTCAGGGGACAGTGAGACAGTGAGTAGAATCACAGTGGGTAACAGGGAAAGGGAAGGGATGTGTCCCAAGACAAGGGTCTTCAACTCAGTTCAGTTGTACTAGTTTTTTGTTTGTTTGTTTGTTTGTTTGTTTTGAGATGGAGTCTCACTCTATCGCCCAGGCTGGAGTGCAGTGGCACAATCTCGGCTCACTGCAACCTCTCGCTCCTGGTTCAAGCGATTCTCCTGCTTCAGCCTCGCAAGTAGCTGAGACTGCAGGCAGATGCCACTGCGCCTGCTAATTTTTGTATCTTCAGTAGAGACAGGGTTTCACCATGTTGGCCAGGCTGGTCTCGAACTCCTGACCTCAAGTGATCCGCCCGCTTCTGCCTCCCAAAGTGCTGGGATTACAGGCATGAGCCACTGCGCCTGGCCAATTTTACTAGTTTTTAATCCAGGTTTAGTATAGCATTAAGTACCACTGGGTTACCAAGAGACAGAACACACAGCCCCACCCAAGGGGAGCTCACAATCTCATTAAGGAAATGAGGCTCCAAAGTGAGACCAAAAGCCATTTGGTGCAGGGTGACTCTTAAGTGGGGACTGACTCACTTTGTAACCAAGGAATATGATGAAAGCATTAAGGTAGGCTGGGACAGTCCAGGAAGGCTTCCTGGAGGAGGCAGGTTTTGATTCAGGCTCTGAAAAATGTGAATAATTTGAATTGCCAGGAGGAAAGTGAGATGAGGGGATGCCAAGCAGAGGGTGCCTAAGCCAAGGCATGGAGATGGGAAGGATTAGGTATGAGACCCACATAGGGCCCTGGGTCTTAATAGGAGGCTTCTCCCTTCCCCATGACGCAGCTCTGGATAACTTGAGACATGACCCAGAAGCATCAGTGTGCATCTACGCAGCCCAGGTCCAGGACCACATCCTGGCCAGCTGCTGGCAGAACTCCTGGCTGCCGCACGGGAACTCATGGGTGTGTTACTCAGCCACCACCCACCGCTGGAGCCCCAGCTGTGAGAACCTGCCCACTTCCCACCAGCGGCGCTCCTGGATCATGCAGGCACTGGGCTCCTGGAAGATGTCCTTGAAGAAGTGACGTCCCTGAGCCCCAAACCCTCCTCAGGGTGGTTGAGTTCCAGCCATGCTCCCTATAAATGTCATGTGGCTTACCTCTCCATCTTGATTGTTTCCTCCTGGGACATCCCCCAGGCTCTGGAGCAGCCATCACTTTGAGAGGAGTTTGCCTTGGTTTGTTGGCTCAGTCAATAACTATTGACTGACGTAGTCTGTTTTGCCCATATTGTATAAGTGAGGAAGTGAGGCCCAGAGGGATGAAGTGGCTTCCCCAGGGCCACACAGTAAGTCTGCTGGATGTCTCAGTTTCCCCTGCCCCATATTAGAAGAACAAAAGGAGATGATGATTTGGATGGCCACTGGGGAAAGGGAAAAAAGGGAAAGAAGAGACAGCCCCACCCCCACGACAACATACATATCCCAAAACCCTGAATTCTGAGTCCCGCCCTTGGGTCTTTGCCCAGTAATTGGCCACCACAGATTCTAGCAGCATTTACTGAGCATCTAATCTGGGCCAGCCCTCCTCTGGGTGCCATGACACACACATGAACAAGACCCAGCCCCAGACCAGGCCCTAGCAGTTCATAGTCTGATACGGTGGTTCTCAGCCAGGGGTGATTTTGATCCCCAGGTAATATTTAACAATGTCTGGAGATGCTTCTGGCTGTCGCACTTGTGGGGGCTGGGAGGTATGCTATTATCATCTAGCGGGTAGTGGCCACGGATGCTGCTAAACATCCTACTCTGCTGAGGACAGTCCTTCAACAAGGAGTTCCCCATCCCAATTGTCAAAAGTGCCACGGTTGAGAAACTGTGGTCTAATGAAAGTGTCAGAAACATATACAGACACCAACAGCACAGCAGGTCAGCATGCGGGCTTCAGCGTCCAGAGGAGGTACATAGACCAGCAGGCGGTGAGGTGTCAGATAAGGCTTCTGAGGGAAGAAACTCCCCTGCAGGGGGTTTGGAAAGAACATGTATGGAAGGGAGCAGGACACATGGAACCAAGGAACAACTGCAGTCCTTCAGTGCACACAGCCCAGAGAGAGAGGGGAGAGGAGTTCCAGGCTAGAGCCACGGAAGCCTTGGAGGCTGTGTTAAGGAGGGAGACTTCATCCAGATAGGAGTGGTAAGGCATTGTGGGATGCTAAGCAGGGGAGGGATGTAGACAGATGCCTGCTTTAGAAGGCACCTCCTCCTGGGGATACAGGAACCCTCAGGCACTGCTGGTAAGATGGTAAATTGGTGCCGCTCTTCTGGAATCTGTAGAAATCTGTCATTATTCGGTCACTTCAGTCTTATTAAGTTCATGCATACCCACGACTGAGCAGTTCCACTCATGGATACATAGCTCGGGGGAATATTCCACAGGTCCATAAAGAGAGATGCATGAGGAAGTTGATCAGTGTTCTTTGTGGTGGTGGGGAGAGGAGGCAGCCTGGGTATCCACCCCTTGGGAGAGTATGTGTGCCGTGGAGCCCTGCACAGCAGTTCGGGGCTGCCAGATGGGACCTAAAACCCAGTGCTGAGGGGAAAAAGTGTATCAAGAATGTATACACAAAAGTTGGCCAGGCGCGGTGGCTTACTTCTGTAATGCCAGCACTTTGGGAGCCTGAAGCGGGTGGATCACCTGAGTCAGGAGTTCGAGACCAGCCTGACAAACATGGTTAAACCCCGTCTCTACTAGAAATACAAAATTAGCCAGGCGTGGTGGCGCATACCTGTAATCCCAGCTACTCAGGAGGCTGAGGCAGGAGAATCGCTTGAACCTGGGAGGCGGAGGTTGCAGTGAGCCAAGGTCGCGCCATTGCACTCCTGCCTAGGCAATAAGAGTGAAACTCCATCTCAAAAAAAAAAAAAAAAAAAAAAAAGAATGTACACACAAAAGAATTCACATTTTGGAAGAACACTTAGAAACTGAGAAGACACAGTAAACACACTAGAGGCCAGGTGTGGTGGCTCATGCCTGTAATCCCAACACTTTAAGAGGCCAAGGTGGGAGGATCACTTGAGGCCAGGAGTTCAAGACCAGCCTGGGCAACATAGTGAGACCTCCATCTCTATAAAACAAAACAAAAAAATGCTAATAAAACATGCTAGAATGATTGATTAGGGTAAGGAGGAGGGCTTTGGGGTATAAAAGGGAGTAAATAAAAAAGGAAGCAGAAGAAGCTCACTATGTCATGGAGTGAAAGGGCTGGATGGCAGGGTGGACAAGAGCACCATCAGGGAGACTTAGCCAGAAACTGCTGAGAGAACAGTGACCAGACCTTGCAGCACAAAATGGAGAGGATGGCCAGGCCTGCAGGAGACTGAGGAAGGGGATTTTCAGAGCCTAGTGGTTGACAGAATGGAGGAGGGAGGAGGGAGAGGGAGGAGCTGAGTTTGGCACCCAGATTTCTGGGTGGATGACTAAGCCAATGGAGCCCACACTAAGTGGTGAACCCAGGACCAGGAGCAGGTTGTGGGGCAGGGGATGAGTTCAATATGGGCATGGTAAGCTTGAGGGACTGTGCAGCAAGCTAGTGGAGATATCCACAGGGCAGTTGGCTGCCGCTGTGGTCTGAATGCTGTGTCCCTGCAAATTCATATGAAATCCGAACCCCCAAGGTCATTATATTAGGAGGTGGGGGCCTTTGAGAGGTGATTAGGGATTAGTGAATGGGATTAGTGCCCTTATAAAAAAGAGCCTTCAGAGAGCTCCCTCACTACTCACACCATGGGAGGACACTGAGAAGATGGCATCTGTGAACCAGAAAGCAGGCCCTCACCAGACACCGAATCTGCCAGGCCTTGATCTCGGACTTCCCAGCCTCCACAACTGTGAGAAATAAATGTTTGCTGTTTACACACCAGAGTTGATGGTATTCCGTTATAGCAGCCTGAATAGACTATGGCGGGCACAAAGGGACACGGGTGGAGCTCAGCTGAGGGACCTGAGAAGGAAGCAGATTTGGGATTCATCTGTGTGTAGGGGCTGGGGTACAATTTCCCTGGGAGAGTATGTAGAGTGGGCAGAGACATCAGCCTGTGGAGCACCTAACTTAAGCTCCTGTTGGGGGTGAGGAACCCATGATGTTGACCACACAATCATCTTCTAATAAATGGTAGCCCAGGCCATTGGTATTCTGGGCCTGAGAGAGAGAGTAGGAAATGGGGAGATTCATTTGCACAATCCTTTCCATCACTGAGAATGTTCACAAACATTGCCTCCTTGGAGTCTTACAGTAGCCCTGTGGATTATGGGGAAGGCAGAATGGATTATGGGGAAGGCAGACTGGATTATGGGGAAGGCAGACTGGATTATGGGGAAGGCAGACTGGATTATGGGGAAGGCAGACTGGCTTTATTGCCCACATTCCACAGATGAGGACACAGCTTAATGAGGGATGGGCCTTGCCCAAGGTCATGCAAGGTAACTAATGGAAGTGTAGGTCCCGAAGATCTCCAGACTCCTATACCTGAACCCTTCCACCCAGAACCACTTCTGCTTTCATGGGCTAGGACCCAGGTCTAGGGTGGCCTTGACAGATGACAGCTGCTATATTTTGGGTCTGGGTGGCCCCTAAGCACAGCAAAGGCTGATCGACTCAGTTATCGGCCAAGACCACTAAGTAGTTTTGAGTTGGAAGGTTCAGAGTGTGCTGGGCAAGTCACTTTGCTTCTCTTAGGTTCCCCTATTGTTACCTATAAAATGGGTTCATACCTCACAGTGTTCTTATGGGAATCAAATGAGAAAAAAAAGAAAGCAAAAAGACTCTGTAGGCTCTGGACTCAGTAAAGGAAAAGATGATGAAGAGGAGAATAAGGGAGGGAACCAGGATTAGGGAGCAGGGCTGGAGGAGGAAGTGTGGAAAAGGAGGTTTGGATTTGGAGGGAAGGGAGTGCTAGGACCAGATGTTCTGCTGGGTGTGGAAGAATCAGAAGGGAAAAGATAAAGTCCTGGCACTGGAAGGCTCATGGTCCCCATGCGCCATCCTTAGCCATGCTGTCTCCATCCCCATATCAAAGAATGACTACCCTGCCAGCTCCACTGCTGGGCTTCAGATCTCTGTCTTACCTTGGTCTCTTATCAGCATCCTCCTTGTCAATCTCTTAACCAACCTCCCCCCATCAATGCTTCACCTGGCAGCCCAGGCCTTCCTAAGACAAATGTGCTCACGGCCATTGCTCCTCTTAGGTCTTTTCAGTGACTCATTATCCTCTGCAGGACCAAGGTCAGTGAGGCAGGCAGGCCTTCTGGCCCCTACCCACTTGCCGGCCACACCTCTTTTTTTTTTTGAGGTGGAGTCTTGCTCTGTGGCCCAGGCTGGAGTGCAGTGGCGCAATCTCGGCTCACTGCAACCTCCACCTCCCGGATTCAAGCGATTCTCCTGCCCCAGCCTCCCCAGTAGCTGGGACTACAGGTGCGTGCCACCACGCCTGGCTAATTTTTTGTATTTTTAGTAGAGACGGGGTTTCACTGTGTTAGCCAGGATGGTCTCGAACTCCTGACCTCATGAACTGCCCGCCTCAGCCCCCCAAAGTGCTGGGATTACAGGCGTGAGCCACCGTGCCCGGCCCTGGACACACCTCTTAACACTTGCAGTACCCAGCATGGCGGGCCTGTGCACACCTCCATGCCTCTCTCCACATATGAGCTCCCACTGCCTAAAACGCTGAGTCCTCTATCCATCTGCAGAGACCTTCCTCAGCTCTGATCTCAGCTCTGCATCACCTTGAATCCCACCCCTCTGAGCCTTCACTGAGCAGACCTGTGACCCAATGCCAGTTTAGATTGGTGTGCTTCCTGTCTGCTTTTCATTCCAGACCAGGCTAGGAGCTCCCCAAGGCTGTAGCCCCGGTGCAGGGACCTGCAGCCATTTGCTGGCCGGTAGAGAGGCTGCAGGAAGCCACAGCGGCTGCCTAACCAGGCCTGCAGCACCTGGACCGAAGACCCTTTTCCATCTGAACTGTGGGAGTTAGGGGTGGCTAAGCTCAGAGACAGAGGTCTGATCAGTCTCTCCTTTCCTCGAAACTCTCCAAAAGGTCCCATACCACTGAGGAAATAGCCAAATCCTCATAGTCACAGCCCTTTTGTCCTCCCACCTCATCATCTCCTTGCCCCCTTCCTCACTCTGCTTCAGCCCCACTGGCCTCCTTGCTGTTCCCCAAGCACAGAAGACTCTCCCGCATCAGGCTTCCGGACTGTTCCCTGTTCCTTCCATGGGAATGCCTTTCCCAGACCCCTCCTAGTCACTCCCAGGCCTCTGGCAGAATGTCTACCCATCCTGTTTAAAACTTTTCCCCAATAGCTCTTGCTACCCCTGACAAACTCTTACATCTCAACTATTGTCGTTTCCTCCCCACTGCCTTAGCAACTCCTAGAGGGCAGAGATTTCATCTGCTCTGCCCACCGCTATATAGCCAGCCACTAGAACAGGCCGGAAGCGCAGAAAGAGCTAAGTAAGTATGTGTTGACTGACTGACGAACAAATGAATGAAGTGAGATGGGGGCTTTGGGGATTCGGGTTCACGCACCACCCCAAAAGCATTCGAAGGCCGGGCGAGGCCAGGCACTGCCGAGGAGGGCGGGCCGGGGGAGGAGCGTATTGGCCACGCCCGGCCACGCCCCCAGGCCGGCGGAACCCAAGGCGCGGGGACCTGCGCTGCCGGGAGGATTGAGGGAAGGGAACCCGCGCCGCCGGAAGGAGCCGCTCGCTTCACGGCGCTGGGACCCGGGCTGGAAGGCAGGGCATCAGCTATGGAACAACCTGGGCAGGATCCCACCTCAGACGACGTCATGGACTCGTTCCTGGAAAAGTTCCAGAGCCAGCCTTACCGTGGCGGCTTTCATGAGGACCAGTGGGAGAAGGTGGGCGGTCCTGGGGTCTCCCCACGTGTGTAGGGGCGTCGTCCGGACTCGTGGGGCACCCGGGCTCTGGGGCACCTCCTTCAATCCCAGATCCCTGGCGCTGCCAGCCGATCGCTGGTTTCTAGTTGAGTATTGAAAATCGGCCTCGAGGTTTTGAGTCGCTTCTTAAGCTGAGAACCTAGGTTTTGGAGTCAGGCCTGTGACTCCACCACTTAACTGGCTCTGATATGAGTCAGTTACTTAACTTCTCAGAGTCCGTTTCCTCATCTGTAAAACTGCGCGAACTATATCACCAATAGCAAAGATGAAATGAGACAGTTGGTAAAGTGCCAAGAACATAAGGGCGCTCAATTAATGGTAATTCCTGCCGCTCTTGTAGAATGTGAGAACTAAAACAATCATTAGAGACCATTACACCACACTCCCATTTTACAGAAGGGAAGCGGAGGCCTGAATGGATACAGCTAGCTGTGATGATTTGCAAATCATGATGAGTAAAAAAACTTTGGTAATGAGTCATGGAATTGGATCTGCTCAGTAGAAAAGCTTATTCATGTAGTTCATTCTTAACCATTTACAGGAATTTGAAAAGGTCCCCCTATTTATGTCGAGAGCGCCATCAGAAATTGATCCCAGGGAGAATCCTGACTTGGCTTGTCTCCAGTCAATTATTTTTGATGAGGAGCGTTCTCCAGAAGGTATCTTAACATGACTAATATTTGTTTTGTGTTTCCATTGAACTGAAATTAAGTGTGGGTTAGAAGCGTTCTGATTGATAACAAGAAGTAGTTAGCCTGAGCTAACTTGTCATTATTCATTCCAATATACTTCTTTTTGTACCTACTAAGTGGTAAGGACTGGGGATACAGGGGTGAATAAGACACAGTTCCACCCTCCAAGGTCAGGCTCAGTGAGAAGCCTTTTGTCTTAAAGAATCAAGACAAACTTATGCTATAAGTGTCAACATGTAGGTGTATACTACAGCTGTAGTGGGTCCTGTTGGAACACTTTAAGGAGCAGGAGTGGATTCACAATAGATAGGAAATTTGAGCTGAATCTTTGTAATTTTGTAGGCTTTTACTAGGGTGAGGAGGGGAATTTGCACTCCACAGAATAAACAACATAAGCAAAAGCAGAAGTATAATCAATCCCCCTGCCCCTCACTGATTTCTTCAGTGATTAAAAAAAATTCTTTTCTTCAACAGCTAGGATGAGTGTACTTTTTTCCTTTATACTTCTTTTTTTTGGAAAGCACTTAGTAATCTACCTTGTAAGATATTTGGAATTAGCATTACATTTGTGCGACTTTGTCCATGTTGATACCCACTTTTATCATAACATCGAGTTTCCTTTCCCTATTGGTTTCTTCGCTTTGGTGTGTCATATAGTACATTATTACATGATTTAGAATCTATTTTTAATGAGCCTTTTAAAAAGTAAGCAATAGTGATTATTTTTCCTCTTCTTTGCAGAACAGGCCAAGACCTATAAAGATGAGGGCAATGATTACTTTAAAGAAAAAGACTACAAGAAAGCTGTAATTTCATACACTGAAGGCTTAAAGAAGAAATGTGCAGATCCTGATTTGAATGCTGTCCTTTATACCAACCGGGCAGCAGCACAGTACTATCTGGGTAATTTATAAGTGCTTTCTGAAGAATAAACTTATGATACAAGCCATTATGATGGTTAGTGGAGGTTTGAGAACATCAGAGGATGAGGGGCTGTTATCCCAGAAACCCAGACTAAGGATAGTTTACTCTGATTGAACTCTGGTCTTCCAAGTTGACATGATGAAAAGAGAAACAGGATGGATTGTGTAATTCTTACTGTCTCAACCCAAAAAGTGACTTGGTCACTCAAGTAAGGTGTTTGATGTATGAGGCAGTATGTTCTGAGATTTTTGAGCCCAAGGGCTTCTACTCTCTCAAAAAATGTGTTTTTCTGGCCTTTTATCCTCTTTTCAAGGATGCTAGCAGGAGTAAGGCAGTAGAGATCTTTAGGTGAGATAAGCTATTTTAATCTAAGGGAGAATATCTCAAAGCGTTCTGTGGGACCTTTGAGTTAAAAATATTTTTTGGTTGGGTGCAGTGGCTCATACCTGTAATCCAAGCACTTTGGGAGGCTGAGACAGGAGGATCGCCTGAGGCCAGGAGTTCAAGACCAACCTGGGCAATATAGTGAGACCCTGTCTCTCCAAAAATTTAGCTGGGCATGGTGGTGCCTGCCTGTAGTCCTAGCTACTTGGGAGGCTGAGGCACGAGGATCGCTCAAGGCTACAGGGAGCCATAATCACACCACTGCACTCCAGCCTGGGTGACAAAGTGAGACCCTGTTTCTAAAAAGTTGCTTGGATGAGGAATTTTAACTCATTTATTTATTCATATTTTTTACTTTATTACATTTTTTTGTAGAGACAGGGTTTTGCCATGTTGCCCGGGCTGGTCTCGAAATTGGGCTCAAGTGATCCATCCGCCTCAGCCTCCCAAAGTATTGGAATTACAGGTGTGAGCCACCGCACCCAGGAGATTGAGGAAGTTTGGAAAATGCTGCTTCTTAGAGATTTACAGTACATGTTAACATGTTAAAGACACTGAGATAGCCTGCAAGAAAATAAATTTACCCTGGGTTTCTCAAATTTTGTAAGCCTCCTCTTCAGGTAACACCAACATCATGCAGGTTCTGTAGTCGTAAATTTGGGAAATGATTATTTAAGTAGTATTGCTGGTGACTAGTCTTGGTTATGTTAGACCTGTGGGTTTTTTTTAAAAATAATTTATTTTTTTAATTGAGACAGGGGTCTCGCTATGTTGCCCAGGCTGGCCTTGAACTCCTGAGCTCAAGTGATCCACCTGCCTTGGTCTCCCAATGTGCTGTGTACTCAGTGGACCTTTTCAGTCTGGAAACTCATGTTTCTAGGACATTTTCCTGAATGCTTTGATATTTTTCTTTTTCTTTTTTACTCTTTTTTCTCTTTTTGGAAATCCTGGCTGCTGGTACTTTGGGAACCAAGTAGGAGAAGAGGACCAAGGGCTCAATCTTTAATATTTCCTTTACTGAATCACCTTTGTGCCTGGGGGTTCCAGTCCAGAGACCTACTGTTTTATTGTCTGCTAGGGTAAACCTCCAGTCCTCCACCTGGAGGAACAGGGGAGGAGTAGGTCACTGGTGCAGCAGAGGGGTAAGGAATATGGGACTCTGACTGCTTCTTAAGTAGATTTTCAACCCACCTTCACCCCCACTTCCAGAGGTACCTGGTGCCATCAGTTCCTGAGTCCTGAGTACTTTGTAGTTTCTGCAGTGCAGCTTGGTAGCTTTTGTGCTTTCCCTCTACTGGTTTAGAATTCAGTTTCCTTAAGCCTGATACATCAGTTACTTGTTCCTTTGTTTTCCAGCTTTCACAATGTGTTCTGTGTTCTTCTCATTTTCTTTGTCTTTATGGGAGAGAGAGTGGGGATTGAGTTAAATGTATGTGTTCAATCTGCCTCCTTTAACTAAAAGTCCTTGGATCCCTTTCATGTGCATTTTTTTCCATGGTTGAGATCCTGCTGTTCTTCCAGTTTGATATTCAGTTTTTTCACTTAATTTTATAACAAACAATTTCACCGTCATTAAAAATCATTTCTGAATGTTATTTCAATAGCTAAAGTTGCATCATATGGACATGCCACTATTTATACTGTTTGCTTTATTAGTCTGCTATTGTTGAGTATATAGACTGTTTTTTGGTTTTTATAAATAATGCAAAAATAAATAAAGTCATAATATTTTTCTGATAATTCTGATTATTCATTAGGCTAAAGCACGATTTGGCAAACTAGGACTCAGAGTCCACCCCTGGCCCCTTGGCTTGCCATGAACTAAAAATGTTCCATACTTTTTTTTTTTTTTTTTTTAAAGTGACAGGGTCTTACTCTGTTCAGGCTGGAGTGTACTAGCTGTGATCATAGCATAGTGCAATCTTAGACTCCTGGGCTCAAGCAATTCTCCCACTTCTGCCTCCCGAGTAGGTAGAACTATAGGCATGTACCACCATGCCCAGCTAATTTTTAAAAAATTTTTTGTAGAGAGAGAGTCTTGCTATATTGCCCAGGCTGGTCTTGAACTCCTGGTCTTAAGCAATCCTCTCACCTCGGTCTCCCATAGTGCTGGGATTGCAGGAGTGAGCCACCTCCCCAGAGGTTTCTTACATTTTTCAAGAATTGTAATAAAATGAAGAAGAATGTGCAGTAGACCACATGTGGCCTGCAACACCTAAAATATTTATCTGGCCCTTTACAAAATATTTTGCTGACCCCTGGGCTAGAGATTTAGGTAAATACTAAACCATTAAGTAATAATTATAGTATACTCCAGAAAGTTAAAGTATACCTCATGGCTTGCTAGTTTGGATAACTGGTATGTGTGTGACTGCATACTTTTTTTTTTTTTTTAATGCACTTACAAATATATACATGTGTGTCTAGATATTTAGTTTTTTTTTTTTTTTAAATAGGCTTCCTCTATACTCATAGAACCACCACTTAAAACAATATAGAACAGACATCCTACCGTGTTTCTTACATGAGGATCTATCTCATTCTTTTTAATGGCTGCATAGTATTCAATAGTATGGATTTACCATAATTCATGTAATCATTACCAAATTGAGGATATTTGAGTTATCTCCAGCTTTTCACAATTAAAGTAATGCTGTAGTTAACATGCTTTTACATTTATCCCTGCACATTTGTTCAAGTATTTTTGATAATTTTCCAGAAGAAAATTGTTGTGTCAAAGTATATGTACAAAATACATGCTAATTTGCTTTCTAATTTACCCTGAGAGTACCCCTTTTCCATATCTTTTCTAATACTAGATATTATTTGTCTAACTTTTAGCAATTTCTTAATTTTAATTTCCTAATCATTAGTGATGTTGAACGTCTTTTCATGTGCTTACTAGCCATTTACAGTTCTGTAGATTGCCTGTTATAGACATTTCTAAGGCTCTTGACAAGTACAACCATATTTTTTCAAAAAAACAGTTGCTCTCATTTGTATTTCCCCAGGATTGTACAAGAGTGTCTTTGTCACTACATATAAAATTTTGGAAACATTTTGATCTCAAAACTTCTCTCTTTTACTAAACGGTGTTTTGTTAGGCAATTTTCGTTCTGCTCTCAATGATGTGACAGCTGCCAGAAAGCTAAAACCCTGCCACCTCAAAGCAATAATAAGAGGTAAGTCTTGTGGAACTACAGTATGACATTTAAAGCTTTGATATGAAGGTGCTAGGATACTAATAAAGTCATCTTATTTTTGCAGTCTGGGTATTAAGTTCCTGTTCCTTATCAACAGCAACATGCCACTTTTAAAAGAATTCCTCAGAGAGTGACTTAACCCTTTATGTAATAATAATTTGTAGAGAACTAGAAGCCCCTCATTTTAAATTAATAAAAAATAAAATTAATTAAAACAAAGCAGTTGCAAAGCCATATTCTGATTTTTTTTCCAAATTAGCTGATTGAAAGGCAAGGTCTTCAAATGCCATGTTAATGTTAATTAAAAGATAAGTTATGGGACCTTTGCTGATGACTTTGGTGCTGAGATGTTCTCAGATTATGTTTTCTCTTGTAGTCTGACCTTTCTATGTAATAACAGTGCTTTTATTACTTTTATACTTCACCTTTTCTTTGAGAAGCTCATAGGTGCTTTGCAAACTTTAATTTATTCATCACATATTAATCTTCCCTGCATCCCCATGGACCAGCTTAAAATGCTTTTTCAAAATTATGCCTCTTTAAATGTTCATGGTTAAGGGCAGTAGGAAGATCCATGTCCCTCAGCTGTAGGAAAAGAAGGTACTGAACAAAGATTGGCTGATAAATTGAATCTAGGTAATCCTGTGGAATTTGCCTCAGGCTAGAAGTGTGTAATCCTTGATTCAGTTGTTGGTTTAATTTACAATGTGACCTTGGCAAGACACCCACTTTGAATATCAGTTTGCTCATCTCTAGAAGATGGGGTTAGAATCTGTTGGCATCTAAGCCCTTACAATGCTTATATTTTGAAATTCTGTGGAAAACCTAAAGAGGCTAACTGGAGAAAAATGTACATGATAACATGAAATTTTTTTTTTTTTTTTTGATGGGGGAGAGGCAGCTTAAACTGGTAGCCATAAAGAACAAAATTAGGAGACACCTAATGTTTTTGGCCTTGCCACTGCCTTGATGAATAGCTGAAGCAAAGTCTGCTTTTTCCCTCCATTGAAAAAATCATCTGGGATGGACTTTATTCTTCCTGTTTGCAGATGAGGAACCTAAAGCTTGGATATGCTTGGTCCTTTGTCTAAGGTCTAGCTGGTAAATGACACAGCCAGATTTCTAGCCTTGATCTATCTGGTTTGCCACTAAGTTATAGCTTTTCCTACTTTAAGAGCCCTTAATACCAGGGAGACTTACAGGAGTTTTGAACTAAATGGACCTTAGGGATTTTTCTGATTTAGGACACAAAAAGTATTCTCCCTTGTCTGGGGACTGCAGTATAAGGGGCATTATCCTCCATTTTGCCTTCAGGGTACTGGCTGGTAGTTGGTGGGGGATGGGAGATCTTGCCCAAAGCAGGTTCTTTCCATGCATGTTTTTCTTGAATCCTAAGGGTTCTGGGTTCTGCAGGTGCCTTATGCCATCTGGAACTGAAACACTTTGCCGAGGCCGTGAACTGGTGTGATGAGGGACTGCAAATAGATGCCAAAGAGAAGAAGCTTCTGGAAATGAGGGCTAAAGCAGACAAGCTGAAGGTTGGTGACTGTCAGCAACCAATTAGCATTTGCTAATTAGCAGTAATTAGCATTCCCAAGATTGTGTCTCTCAAGTCATTGTAAACTTTTTAAAAACAAAACCCAAAACTAGTCCCTACTCCTGGAACTCTGTGGAGCACACAGACAAGTAAACAGTTATAGTGTGATATAGAGGTAAGCAAGGATAGATGGTGTGTATAGTGGTAGTACAGTCATGTGCCACATAACAGTGTTTCATTCAATGATGGAACTCCGTATATATTACAGTGGTCCCATAAGATTATGATGCCATATTTTAACTGTGCTTTTTCTGTGTTTAGATGTGTTTAGCTACACAGATACTTACCATTGTGTTACAGTTGCCTACAGGATTCAGTGTAGTTATGTGCTTTACAGGTTTGTAGCTTGGGTGCAATAGGCTGTACCATATAATCTAGGTATGTAGCAGGCTATACCATCTCAGTTTGTGTAAGTACATTCCATGATGCTTGTACAACAATGATTGTGCATTTTTCAGAATGTATCCCCATCAATCTGAATGGAGACACGTCTTGTCCAGGGCAAAATTAGATACCATTACTATATACAGTCACATAACAATGTCACGTGTTCAGGGCCAGCTAAAGACTCCCAGTGTATATTATATACTCCCATTCCGTAGTATAAGCCATGAAGAGAGACCTAAACCAGGAATTAAGAGACCTTAAGACTAGTTCTGGCTTTCTATTAACAGGCATGTAAGACAGTATTACACAGTGGCTAAGAGCTTAGACTCTGGAGCCACTGCCTGAATTTGAAGACTCCCTTCATGACAGTTATGTGACTTGGACAACTTGCTGATCTCTTTGTGCTTTAGCTACCTCACTAGTAGAAGGAGAATTAAAATATTTCCTACCTTATAGGGCTATTATATAGTTTAGATGGTTTAACGTAAGGAATGTTTTTAAATAACACCTGGAGCACACACACAGTAGTGCTATTTAAATGTTGGATATTATTTTGGGTAGTGATGGTATTCTGTTATTATTACTGTTTTTAATCATCATTTTAGCTGTTATGTGCCAGAAATGTCATATATCATCAGCAATGACCAGAGGTCATTCTGGTCATATGAAATGGTAGAAAAGGTAGATCTCTATGGACCCACATGGCTCAATAACAGAATTCTGAGCCTAGGTAATTGGGTATGGCCAGAATTTCTGAAAGTGGTATATACAGGAATGAATGTCTAGAGGGCTACTGGGGACAGTCACAATTAAAGGGAGATTTCAAGGCCCAGAAGCCTGATATTAGGTCTAGGTGACATTACTTGCTGAATAGCTGAAGTATTCCCCTGTGTCTGAGTACAAGCTGATTCTGGGTTCCTATGTGCTTGGCATATAGCCAACAGACTTGTGGCTATGTTAATATCAGACAGAGTAGACTTCAAGGCAGCAAGTGTTACCAGAGATGAAGTGAAGCTTTTTTTCTTTTTTTTTTTTCATGAGACAGAGTCTTGCTCTGTTGCCCAGGCTGGAGTGCAGTGGCATGATCATGGCTTCCTGCAGCCTTGACCTCCTGGGATCAACTGATCCTCCTGCCTCAATCTCCTGAGTAGCTGGAACTACAGGCGTGCACCACCATGCCAGGCTAATTTTTTTTTTTAATTTGTAAATTTGTAGAGTTGGGGTTTCACTATGTTGCCCAGGCTGGTCTCAAACTCCTGGGCTTTAATCCTCCTGCCTTAGCCTTCCAAAGTGCTAGAATTACAGGCATGAGCCACTGTGCCCAGCCACTGAAGCATTTTTTTAAATGATAAAAGGACCAGCTTATAAGAATATTTAACAATTCTAAATGTGTAGGCACCTACTAACAGCTTCAAAATGCATGATGCAAAACTTGACAACTCAAAGAAGGAAGAGACAAATCCACAAATAGGTGGAAATATCAACTATCTCAGTAATTAATAAAACCAGTATTTAAAAAATAGAGAGGGGTAGTGTCAATCACAGTGGTGGACTAAAGACCTTTACAATTTTTCTCCTCCATAAAATCAATGAGGAAACTGGCAAAAATGATCAGAATTCACTTTTCTAGGACTCTGGAAATGAACCAGAGGTTTGCAGCAATCTGGAGCATGTTTATTCAAGAAAAATGTTGGAACCTCAGTAAGAACAGCAAGCTTTGTGACATTTTAACTTGCTCTATTCTCATCTCCCTCCTCTCCAGTTCCACAGTAGCCTTGAAAGCCAGTAGCCCACAGTCATGGTGAAAATGAGCAGCCTGCAGCCACCAGAGGAGGCAGAACAGGGTTGGAGCTCTTTCAAAGCCTTTTCCCAGAGAACTGTGATGATTTGACCATCTGGTAGATCCCTGGAAGACCCCGCTCACAGGGCTATTTTTATATGACCTGACTTGGAGCTTACCCAGTATAAAAAGCTTTTTTACATAGGGCCAGAAAATAGGGGGAATGAAAAGGTGGGAGAGAATTTGTCAAAAAACAATTAGAGGCAATTGTTAAAGATTGTAGAAGCTGAAGCAGTGGATAACACTGGAGCAAACAATAGGTGCATCATAAAGCTTAAAAGGAAAAACTGGGGAATGAAATTCTGTGGGGGCTCCGAAAAGCTCCAGTATTCCTGAAGATCTAGATGGTCACACATGTGCCCAGGGCTATACATGTGCTCAGGAAAGACCTGAGAAGACCCTAAGCTCTCAGAGTCTCTGCAAGAAGGAAGTGAAGGCTAAGGTAGAATTGTAAACTGCTTGGGTGAATGCTAAAAATGTGCTTCAACATGTACACAAAGCCTCTTGACAAAGATTGGAAGACTTACTGTCTGGTCATTAGCTAGAGGAAGCCTAGATGTGGGACTTACTAGACAAAGACTTTAAACCAGCTAATTTAAATATCTTCTCAGAATGAAAGGAAATAGTGTCTAAAGAACTAAAAAAAGTATGAGAATGATGTCTTTCCAAATAGAGAATATCAACAAAGAGAAGTTACTAAAAAGAACTTAACAGAAGTTCTGTAGTTGAAAAGTACAATAACTGAAATGAAAAATTCACTAGAGGGGCTCAACAGCGCATTTGAGCAGGCAGTAATGAGAATCATCACACTTAAGATGTATCAGTTGAGATTATCCAGTCTGAAGAACAGAATGAGAAAAGAATAAGGATGAAGAGAGACTTGTATGATGCCATCAAGCATACCAACAAAGGCATAGTGGGGGTCCTAGAAGGAGAGAAGAGAGAGAATGGGCAAAAGAATACTTGGGGAAATATTGGCCATAAACTTCCCAAATTTGGTGAAAAACACTGATGTATACATCCAAAAAGTTTAACAAACTATAAGTGGGATAAACTTAAAGTGATCTCTACCTAAACACATTATAATTAAACTGTTGAAAAACAAAGAAGAGAACCTTAAAAGCAGCAAGAGAAAAATGACTCTTTATGTACAAAAAATCCTAAGGAAAATTAACAGCTTTCTCATCAGAAGCCATGAAGGCCAAAAGGCAGGTAAATGACATATTCAAAGAGCTAAAAGAAAAAGACTGTAAGAATTCTATATCTAGCAAATCTATTCTTCAAAAATGAAAGAGTGGAAGAGAAGTAGTAGTAAAACCATCTATATGCAGACAACTTGACCGTGTATATAGAAAATCCTAAGGGATCCACTAAAAAACTCTTGGAACTAAGTTCAGCAAGCTTGTTGGAAACAACATCACCAGTACACAAAAATCATTTGTATTCTATAGATTTTTAATGAACACTCTGAAAATGAACTTAAGAAAACAATTCCATTTTAAATAGCATCAAAAAACACTTATGAGTACATTTAACAAAAGTAGCTAAAACTTATACTCTAAAAATACAAAAAACATTGTTGAAAGAAATTAAAGAAGACCTAAGTAAATAGGAAGACATCCCATGTTCATAGATTAGATCTTAATATTGTTAGATGGCAATACTCCCAAAATTAGTGTATCAATTCAGTGTAATTTTCTTTTTTGAGACATGAACTTGCTCTAATATTCAGGCTGGAGTGCAGTGGTATGATCATGGCTCGCTGCAACCTCAAACTCCTGGGCTCAAGCAGCCCTCCTGCCTCAGTCTCCCAAGCAACTGGGACTATAGGCATGTGATGCCACATCTGGCTAATTTCAGTGCAATCTGTATCAAAAGTCCAATTGGCTTCTCTGCAGAAATGGACAGGCTGATCATAATATTCACATAGAAATTCAAGGGACTCTGAATGACCAACAATCATGAAAGACAAAAAAAAAAAAAAAACAAAATTGGAAGACTCACACTTCCCAATTTCAAAACATACGACAGAGCTACAGTAATCAAGGCATTGTGGTACTGGCATAACAATAGACATATAGGTCAATGTAATAAAATTTAGAGCTCAGAAATAAGCCCTCACATTTATGGGGAATTTATTTTCAACAAGTGTGCCAAGACCATTCAATAGGGAGGTAATCTTTTCAACAAAGGATAGTGGGACAACTGGATATTCACATGTGGGAGAATGAAGCTAGAACTTTACCTCATACTATATAAAAAAGTTACCCAAAGTAGATCAAATACCCAAATGTAAGAGCTAAGACTATACAACTCTTAAAAGAAAACATAGATATGAATCTTCATGAACTTGGATATGACACAAAGCACAAGCAACAAAAGGAAAAGTAGATTGATTGCACTTCATCAAAAGTAAAAACTTTTTGCTTCAAAGGATACCATCAAAAAAATGAAAAGATAAATGTGAAGAAAAAAGTGAAAAGGGGCCAGATGCAGTGGCTCACACCTGTAATCCTAGCATTTTGGGAGGCCAGGGCAGGAGGACCACTTGAGGCCAGGAATTCGAGACCAACCTGGGCAACAAAGTGAGACCTCATCTCTACAAAAAAAAAAAAAAAAAAAAAAGTGAAAAAGCCCACAGAATGGAAGACAATATTGGTAAGTCATAAGGGACTTTTATCTACAACATATAAACAACTCTTATCATCTCAATAAGACAGGTAACTCAGTTTTTTAAATGAGGAAAGGATGTGAATAGACACTTCTCCAAAGACACACAAATGGCCAAAAAGCACATGAAAAGATGTTCAACATCATTAATAATTAGGAAATGCAAATCAAAACCATAGTAAGATACCATTGCATACCCACTAGGGTGGTTATACTTTTTAAAAAAAATCTATAGAGACAGGGTTTCTGTCACCCAGGCTATGTTTCGTAGCACTCGGATCACACGACCAGAGTAGTACATAATCCACCTGTTATACTGGCTCTTTACTTGTCTGTACCCCTCAACCCCTCAGTAGACTGTGAGTTCCTTGGGTACATACAGGAAGTAAATTTAAACTGCTGCTGCCACTGGGTCTGACATCTAGGCATGTACTTTGTAAATGTTTATTGAACTGAATCTGGCCACTGGTATTCCTTAACACAGGAGCTTGGGTTGGATAGAGGCCAGAGATAATAATTTAGGAGCAGGCTAGTGCAATAGAAGAGGAAGCCAGGTCTCTAGAGCTGATGCATCTAAATTTCATTTTTAGCGAATTGAACAGAGGGATGTGAGGAAAGCCAACTTGAAAGAAAAGAAGGAGAGGAATCAGAATGAGGCTTTACTCCAGGCCATCAAGGTGAGTTCTTAAACCTTAGGTTTTTATGGTCCTGCTAAATCCACTAATCCTGTGAAGCTTGTTGGGAACCTTTCTTGGGATGCTTTACCTGAAGGAATTTGTTCATTTTCTTTCTACTTTGGTAAAGCAGTGTGACAGAGGAGACCAGGCTCTGGAGTCAGGCCACCCCAGTTCAGTCAGCTCTCTCATGTGCATGTGTTGGTCTCAGTAACATATACAGTTGTCTCCACTTACCTGAAGCAGATGTATTCCAGGATCCACAGTGGATGCTTGAAATCTCAAATAGTTCCAAACCTGATTGCCATCAGTCAGAACACATTTCTGTTTGTGTCTTCCACCCACAAATATAATGCCTTTTCTATCTTAGCTAAAGCACTTATCACACACTGTGGCCATAATTTTTGCAGTTTGAGGTACATCAGCAACAGCAAAACTAGCATGAATTTCTTTTTCCTTCTTTGTAATTTCACAGATAGAAGGTTGCTCTTACCATAGATCTTAGCAACCTCAGCATACAATTTTTCTTCTAATTAAGTTGAGAAATTTCACCTTTTTACTTAAAGGAGGTAGTTTATAGCTTCTATTTGGCATATCCGAATTGCCAGCATCAGTACTCTTGTGCTTTGGGGTCCTTATTAAGTAAAATGAGTGTTACTTAATACAGGGACTGTGATACCATGACAGTCAATCTGATCATTGAGATGGGTGCTAACTCACAGGTGGGTATCATCTACAGCGTGGATGTGCTGGCCAAAGAGCAGAGCCCGTGATTTCATCATCTGCTACTCAGTGCATAATTTAAAACTTACAGGTTGTTTATTTCTGGAATTTTTCATTTAATATTTTCAGACCATGGTTGACCACTGGTAACTGAATCTGTGGAAAGCAAAACCGTGGATAAGGGGACACTACTGTACTGAATACCTGCTTTGGGTTAAGTGTTATTTAAGCTTCACAGTGGCCTTCTGAAATAGGTTGTCTTGCTTCTGTTTTTTTGGATAATAGTTTCAGAGAGGTGAAGAAACCTTACACAGCTAACATGTGTTAGAGCCGGGTCCTTGCTCTTAACCACTGGGTTGTACAGCATCCTGAGAAAGTCTGACATTTTAGGATGTTGTTCCTATAACAACAACAACAATAACAAAATGCCACCCTGTCTTTCTCTTTTCTGTATTTTGAAATATATATAGTCTGACCCAAATCTTGCTTTAACCTTGATACCTAGGGAGTCACCTGTTTGAGATTGTTTGGTCTTAACAAAGGAGAGAATATCTGCTGGGAGATTATGGGATAGGTTTTTTTTTTTTTTGAGATGGAATGTCTCTCTGTCACCCAGGCTGGAGTGCAGTGGTGCAATCTCGGCTCACTGCAGCCTCCACTTCCTGGGTTCAAGCAATTCTGCTTCAGCCTCCCGAGTAGCTGGGACTACAGGTGCACACCACCATGCCCAGCTAATTTTTGTATTTTTAGTAGAGACGGGGTTTCACCATATTGGTCAGGCTGGTCTTGAACTCTTGACCTCAGGCGATCCACCTGCCTTGGCCTCCTATAGTGCTGGGATTATAGGCGTGAGCCACGGTGCCCAACCGGGGTAGGTTTTTTGTTTTATTATTTGTTCAGTTAAATTATGCACCATTTATGTTACTTGTTGACTGTAAGAAACTTAACACTGCTAAAACATACTCCACTATTCCCTCCCCACAACAATCTGTTTACATGTATTAACACGTTAAACAGATTAGAATACTCCAGATTTTCCATCTAATTCTCATTCACAGTGAGGGATTTGTTCGTTTTCTTAATTGTAGAATATGAGATGCCCAGACACCCAGACATTTGCATAAATCCTTTTTTTTTTTTTTTTTGGTTCTCTTCTTTAGTGTAACCCTTCATCTCAAACTTAGCATACATAAGAGTTACTCTCAACAGTACACGAAGCCATGCATGCTGTATTTTACTAATGGTTAAAGGGAGGAGTCAGCAAACTGCAGCCGTTGGAACACAGCCCTGCCTATTTGTTTATGTACTACTTATGGCTGTTTTCACACTACAGTGGCAGAGTTGAGTAGTTAATTTTGACAGAGACCATTGTCCAGAACTCTTAAAATATTTCATATCTAATGCTTTAAGAAAAAGTTTGCTAACCTCCAATTTAGGGGATATCATCAAATCTAATTTTGATTGCATGTCATTTCCCCTCATGTGCTAACCTTAGGCACCCCTGCACACTTACATAAGAGGTGACCCTACTATTTCAGACCCTTAATTTATGCCCATGTCTAGGAGACAGTCAAGATTAAGTCAATGCACACTCTTTCTAGTATTCCATGTCCCAACTAAACTGAAATATTTGACATTTCTTTTTTTTTTTTTTTATCTTTTCTGTCCTTTTGCACTTGCTGCTCGTTGGAGTGGAAGGCTCTTCCTCCCTTCTAAGTGCCCCTCCCTTCCAACTTCTCTGCTTTTCAAAGTCATTGTTCAAGGCCTAGCATATCTCAGTCACCTCCAGCCCCCAAGGCTGAATTAATTATTCCATCGTCTATGGTACTACAACTCCACTTCTTACCTTATATCATCATTATTTCCATAGCTGTCTCACCACTTGATATTGAGCAGAGGCTTGAGGGCAGGTAGCCATGTCTAGTTCTCTGTGACACAGGGTCCAGCACAAGATAGATGCCCAATGAAGGTGAGTTAAGTGGTACCTACTATGTGCCAGGCCTCAGGGATAATGAAGATGGATTGTGTGTAGAGCTGTCCCTCAGGGAGCTCCCATTGTTATGGTGTTTTTTTTTGTTTGTTTGTTTTTTGATGTATTAAAGTTAGTTGTCCATGTTCATTCAGGGTACAGATGAAGAAAATTAAATTAAAAATAAAGTTAGTCGTGCAGCCTGGGCAATATAGTGAAACTCCGTCTCTTCAAAAAATAAAAATAAATAAAAAATAAAAAAATTAGCCAGGCATTATGGTTTCTTTATTTCAGTAAAATGGGTTTGCATCCTCCCACACAATAAGATGTGCATTATGTGTGTGTGTTTCTGTCTTTAACCCAGGCTAGGAATATCAGGCTCTCAGAAGCTGCCTGTGAGGATGAAGATTCAGCCTCAGAAGGTCTAGGTGAGCTTTTCCTGGATGGACTCAGCACTGAGAACCCCCATGGAGCCAGGCTGAGTCTAGATGGCCAGGGCAGGCTGAGCTGGCCTGTGCTCTTTCTGTACCCAGAGTATGCCCAGTCGGACTTCATCTCTGCTTTTCATGAGGACTCCAGGTACTGACTTGCCCAGGAGCCCTCTGCTTTTGCTTGCATGCTGTCTCTGTTTTTGTGGCAGGAGGGACGAGTGGATTTTTGGTTGAGAAGGGAAGATAATGGTTTAGAGGGTTTCACACCATCTGGTTTGATAATAACCTCTCTATCCTGTAGCTGACTGAACCTTGACTAACTAGGTTTGCAACGACAGACAAAAGTCTCATCGTCATACTAACTGGGCTAGTACATGCAACACCACAGTATTGTGTTTGCCAAAGAGTGGTACACATCACTGGTGAAATAGGAAGTCATTTTAGGTAATACATGCATAGCAATTTAAGTGAATATTAATTAGAAAAAAAAATATAGAGGCTGGGCGCTGTGGCTTATGCCTGTAATCCCAGCACTTTGGGAGGCCGAGTCAGGCAGATTACTTGAGGCCAGGAGTTCGAGACCAGCCTGGCCAACATGGTGAAACCCAGTCTCTACTAAAAATACAAAAAATTAGCTGGGCATCTGTAATATCAGCTACTCAGGAGGCTGAGGCATGAGAATCACTTGAACCTGGGAGGTGGAGGGTGCAGTGAGCCGAGATCATGCCACTACACTCCAGCCTGGGTGACAAAGCAAGACTCTGTCTCAAAAAAAAAAAAAAATAAAAAAGAGATATATGTATGTCTTTGATAGATATGTATATATATCAGACTTAACTTGTGATTTCATAGGGTTAATGTGTAGAATGAGTCTAAGTGTAAGAGTGTAAGAAAAGTTTTTTTGTAATTTTTTTTTTTTTTTTGGAGACCAAGTCTCGCTCTGTTGCCCAGGCTGGAGTGCAGTGGCATGATTATGGTTCATCACAGCCTCCAGCCCCCAGGCTCAGGTGATCCTCCTGCCTCAGCCTCTCAAGTAGCTGGGACTACAGGTGAACATCACCACATCTGGGTAATTTTTTAATTCTTTGGTAGACACAGAGTCTCTCTATGTTGCCCAGGCTTGTCTTGAACTCCTGGGCTCGAATGTTCCTCCCACCTCGGCCTCCCAAAGTGCTGGGATTTACAGGCATGAGCCACTGCACCCTACCAGAAATGTTTTTAACCTTGAAGCTGTTTAAAGAAAATTATGTCAGCTGGGCATGGTGGCTCATGCCTGTAATCCCAACACTTTGGGAGGCCAAGACAGGAGGATCACTAGAGGCCAGGAGTTCAAGACCAGCCTGGCAAACATGGCAAAATCCCGTGCCTAATAAAAATATAAAAAATTAGCCGGGCATGGTGGTGCATGCCTGTAGTCCCAGCTGTCTGGGAGCCTGGGGCACGAGAATCACTTGAACCCAGAAGGTGAAGGTTGCAGTGAGCAGAGATTGTTCCACTGTACTCCACACTCCAGCCTTGGTGACAGAGCAAGACTTTGTCTCAAAAAAAAAAAGAAAAGAAAAGAAAAAAAGAAAATCCTGTCAGTCAGGTGCAGGGCTCACACCTGTAATCCCAATAACTTTGGGAGGCTGAGGCAGGAGGATAATTTGAGCCCAGGAGTTTGAGACCAGCCTGGGCAATATAGGGAGACCCCCATCTCTACAAAAAAAAGAAAAAAATTAGCCAGGCATGGTGGCATGTGCCTGTAGTCTCAGCTATGCAGGAGGCTAAGGTAGAGGAATTGCTTAAGCCCGGAAGTCGAGGCTACAGTGAGCTGTTATCATGCCACTGTACTCTAGCCAGGGTGACAGAGCGAGACCCTGTCTCAAAAAAAAAAAATAAAATAAAATAAAATAAAATTATGTCATAATAGGACAAGTGATACATATACACATTTGGGGTACTGCTGTCAAATGGGTTAAGCCTGCATTTCATGTTTTATACATTCTAGATAACTTTGAATTAGTGTCTGGGGACCGATGTGGGAAAATAGATCATGAGTTATTGATACCCAGAAAGTACATGTTTTATCCTTAGGTTTATTGATCATCTAATGGTGATGTTTGGTGAAACACCCTCTTGGGACCTAGAGCAAAAATATTGCCCTGATAATTTGGAGGTAAGAGAAGTTTTATTTCGTTCCTCTATGGAATTAATTTTTTTTTTTTTTTTTTTTTTTTTTGCGGCGGGGGAAGCAGTCTGCTTTATTTTTTTGAAAATTATAGTAAAATATACATGACATAATATTTACCATTTTAACCATTTTTAGGTATATAGGTCAGTGGCATTAAGTACATTCACATTGTTGTGCAACTATCACCACCAGCCATCTCCAAAACTTTTTCATCTTCCCAAATTGAAACTCTAAGTACTTCATATAAGTGGAATCATACAGTATTTGTCCTTTTATGTCTGGCTTATTTCACTTAGCATAATGTCTTCAAGGTTCATTACATATTGTATCATGTGTCAGAATTTCCTTTTTTTTTTAAATTTTTGAGACGGAGTCTCGCTGTTTCACCCAGGCTGGAGTGCAGTGGTGCGATCTTGGCTCACTGCAACCTCTGCCTCCCAGGTTCAAGCGATTCTCCTGCCTCAGCCTCCTGAGTAGCTGGGATTATAGACGCGTGCCACCACACCCAGCTAAGTTTTGTATTTTTAGTAGAGATGGGGTTTCACCATGTTGGCCAGGCTGGTCTCGAACTCCTGACCTCAAGTGATCCACTCACCTCCGCCTTTCAAAGTGCTGGGATTATAGGTGTGAGCCACCATGCCCAACCAGAATTGTTTTCCTTTTTATTTATTTTTATTTTTTGAGACAGAATCTCGCTCTGTCACCTAGGCTGGAGTGCTGTGGTGCAATCTCAGATCGTTGCAACCTTGCCTCTTGGTTCAAGTGATTTTCATGCCTCCGGTTCCCAGGTAGCTGGGATTACAGGCATGTGCCACCAAGCCTGGCTAATTTTGTTTGTATTTTTAGTAGAGATGGGGTTTTGCTATGTTGGCCAGGCTGGTCTTGAACTCCTGGCCTCAAGTGATCCGCCCTCCTTGGCCTCCAGAAGTGCTGGGATTACAGGTGTGAGCTACCGTGCCCAGCCAGAATTTCTTTCCTTTTTAAGGCTGAATAACATTCCATTGTTGGGATTTTTTAAATAAAAAATCACAATATCCAGTATAAAGAATTACCTTTTTCTAACATTTGAGAGTAGGATGCCAGCTGATGTCCCATTACCCCTGAATACTTTACTGTGTATTTCCTACACAAAAGGACATTTTTCTTTATAATACCCATATAGCTATCAAAGCAGGAAATTTACATTAATTCACTGTTACCATCTAACCCTCAGACTCCATTCAGGTTTCACAAATTCTTTATAGCAAAAGGGTTTTGTTCAGAATCACATACTGTATTTAGTGATCATGTCCCCTTAGTCTCCTTCAGTATGGAAGAGCTCCTCAGTCTTTCCTCCACTTTTTTTTTTTACTTAAAAAATTTTTATTCATATTTTTGTGATCCTGTGACTCAACTGCAGGACACTTTGAAGATTACAGACCACTTATTTTGTAGAATGTCTGTCAGTATGGGTTTGTCTCATGTTTCCTTCTGACTAGATTTGGATTATACATACTTGTTTGTTTGTTTTGAGATGGAGTTTTGCTCTTGTTGCCCAGGCTGAAGTGCAATGGTGTGATCTCGGCTCACTGCAGCCTCTGCCTCCAAGGTCCAAGCGATTCTCCTGCCTCAGCCTCCTGAGTAGCTGGGATTACAGCTACTCAGATACCACGCCCAGCTAATTTTTTGTATTTTTAATAGAGATGGGGTTTTGCCGTGTTGGCCAGGCTGGTCTCAAACTCCTGACCTCAAATGATCTGCCCGATTTGGCCTCCCAGAGTGCTAGGATTACAGGTGTGAGCCACCATGCCCGGCCTGGATTATGCATATTTGGCTGGAATATTACAGAAGTGATGCTGTATTCTCATTGCACCTATCAGATGGTACATAATCTCCATTTGTCCCATTACTCATGATGTTCACTCTGATCACCTGATTGAGGTGGGGTCTGCCAGCCTTCTCCACTGTACAGTTACTTTTTCTTTATGATTAATAAGTGTTTTATAGGGAGATGCTTTGAAATGGTGTAAATATCCCATTGCTCGTCAGATATTCAACATATTTATTTATATTGGTGGATTTATAGTTTCCTGTTTCATTTAATGAGTTTTAATCTGTTACTATGATTGTTTCTTTTATGCTCAGAATATCCCAGATTTGGCCAGTGGGAATCTCTTCAAATTTGTTTCTGTGTCCTTTTGACTTGTGTCTATTTTTTAAGTGGTTGCTTTCTTACATAGGATGTTCTAGGTTCAGATTGCGCTTTCCTTGCCCCAGCTCTGGAATTAGCTATTTTTTCCCAAGAAGCCCTGGTTCTTTCTAGTGAAGAATGGTATTTAGAAGCCGAGATCTCTGTGCAATAAGTGTATAAGTGTATCGATTAATACAATGGGGGTAGAGAGGCAAGCTTACTGCCTCAATGCCTTCTCAGTGCCACAGCTTGGGGGAGAAAGAGAGAGAAAGAAAGAAAGGAGAGAGAGAGAGAGAGAGAGAGAGAGAGAGAGAGAGAGAGAGAGAGAAGAGGAGAGGAGAGAGAAGAGAGGAGAGAGGAGAGAGAGAGAGAGAGACCATGAAGTCTCATTGGTATCTCCAACTCTTAATTCAACATCCACAGGATTTTTTCTCCCTTTCTATATTTGTAACAATGACTTTCTTCTTGTTCTTTTTTTGTTTTTGTTTTTTTGAGACAGAGTCTAGCTGTGTTGCCCAGGCTGGAGTGCGGTAGGGAGATCTTGGCTCACTGCCAAGATCAACCTCCTGGGCTCAAACAATCCTCCCACCTCAGTCTCCCAAGTAGCTGGGACCACAGGCGTTTGCCACCGTGCCCAACTAATTTTTGTATTTTTAGTAGAGATGAGGTTTCACCATGTTGCCCAGGCTGGTCTTGAATTCCTGGACTCAAGTGATCCACCTGCCTCAGCCTCCCAAGTGTTCAGATTACAGGCATAAGCCACCATGCCTGGCCTGACTTTATTATTCTTAATATAGTTATTTGTTTGATCAGTTCCCCTCCTGTCATCACCACTGGCCCCTCTCCTATGTGGAGCCTTCCTCACCCTACTTGGACTCTTGACTCCACATGTTACGCTGCTGCCCCAGCGTGGGCGTCTTTCTCACCCCGCACAGACTCTGACATCCCACACTGCTCAACGACCCTACATGGACATCCTCCTCATCCTGCTTGGGCTCTGACACCCTACAGCAGGCCACCCCCTGCCATGAGTGGTCACCCTCCTCACCCTAGTTGGGCCTGTAAACTCCATATTACTTGTCCCCATGCATGGATACCCTTTTCACCCCACATGGCCTCTGACACCCCACCTTGGACAGCCATCTTACAAGGGAGCACTTCTTCCCCTGCTCAGGCCTGCTGGCCCCCAGCATGGATGCTCTTCTTCACTGGTCCTGCTCTGACACCCCCGGGAGCTTCCTGTGCAGGCGTCTTCCTCACCCTGCTTGGGCTTTGACACCCTGCACAGACATCCTTCTCTCCTTCTTCAGGCTCTTTCCTTCTCTGAGCCACCATAGCTTTCTCCTCCACATACCTGATGGCTTTAGTCTGATTTGTTAGGGAAAGGAGGGCTACATAGGCCTGGCCTTGAGTCTTGATTCTTCTGTTTACCAGCAGGGTAATGTTGGCAAGTTGTTGTTCTTCTCTGAGCCTTGATTCTGTCTTTGGAAGATGGAACTGATAATAGCCTCTTTTACAGTGGCATGGCGGGGGGGTACTAAATGCAAAGCACCCAGCTACACAACCATATAAAGGAGGCATTCAACTACTAACCGTTGCCATCTTTTTAATTTTCCCTGGGCTTAGCCTCAACTAAGGCTGCCGAAGCCTTTATCTCTGACTCTTGCCCTTCTGTTAATCTTGCAGGTCTACTTTGAGGATGAGGACAGGGCAGAACTATACCGGGTGCCTGCCAAGAGCACCTTGCTACAGGTTCTACAGCACCAGAGGTGAGTCATCTCATGGCGCTGAGTAGATTGGGGAAGATGCTCAGTGTATTAGTCCATTTTCACACTGCTGATAAAGACATACCTGAGACTGGTCAGTTTATAAAGAAAAGAGGTTTAGTGGAGAACTCACAGTTCCACGTGGCTGGGGATGCCTCACAATCATGGCAGAAGGCAAGGAGGAGCAAGTCACCTCTTACGTGGATGGCGGAAGGCAAAAAGAGAGAGCTTGTGCAGGAAAACTCCCTTTTTTTTTGAGATGGAGTTTTGCTCTTGTCGCCCAGGCTGGAGTGCAATGGTGTGATCTCGGCTCACTGCAACCTCCACCTCCCAGGTTCAAGCAATTCTCCTGCCTCAGCCTCCTGAGTAGTTGGGATTATAGGCACCTGCCACCACGCCCGGCTAACTTTTGTATTTTTAGTAGAGACGGGGTTTCACCATGTTGGCCAGGCTGGTCTTGAACTCCTGACCTCAGGTAATCCACCTGCCTTGGCCTCCCAAAGTGCTGGGATTACAGGCATGAGCCACCACTCCCGGTCAAAAACTCCCATTTTTCAAAGCATCAGATCTCGTGAGACTTAGTCGCTATCACGAGAACAGCACAGGCAAGACATACCCCCATGATTCAGTCATCTCCCACCGGGTCCCTCCCACAACACATGGGAATCATGGGAGCTACAAGATGAGATTTGGTTGGGGATACAGAGCCAAACCATATCACTCAGGCACCATCCGAGGAGTAGAGCCAGGTTCTCATTCCGCTGCTGACTGATTGCCTCATACTCCCCTCCCTTCTGCCCTGAGCACAGAGCTGTGTGAGACAGCAGCCATGGAGACTGGCCGGGCCCATAAAACTCAGCCATTGGTCAAACAGGCTCCAGTGTGATGATAGCCCACTGCACCACAGCCATAACACTCCAGACCAGGGGAGATAAATAGGACTGGTCTTTGAAGGGAAAAGCTGCCTGGCTTTTTGTACATGAAGGCTGCTAGGATGGCCTTTTTTTTTTTTTTGAGACGACATCTCGCTCTGTCACCCAGGCTGGAGTGCAGTGGTGCGATCTTGGCTCACTGCAACCTCTACCTCACCCCCCAGGTTGAAGTGATTCTCCTGCCTCAGCTTCCTGAGTAGCTGGGATTACAGGCGCCTGCCACCATGCCTGGCTAATTTTTGTATTTTTAGTAGAGACGGGGTTTCACCATGTTGTCCAGGCTGGTCTCAAACTCCTGACCTCAGGTGATCCACTCACCTCGGTCTTCCAAAGTGCTGGGATTACAGGCGAGCCACTGCACCCGGCCAGCCTTCCTTTTCCTAATCGTACCTATACCTATGTCTCCTGATGCTCTTTCTTTTGTTTGCTTTTTCTTATTTTGAATTTTTTTTTTTTTAAATAGAGATGGGGTTTTACCATGTTGGCCAGGCTGGTCTTGAACTCCTGGGCTCAAGCAATCCACCCACCTCAGCCTCCGAAAGTGCTGAGATTACAGATGTGAGCCACCACACCCAGCCCCTAAAATTTTTTTTTAAATTATTTTTATAATAGAGACAGGGTATCTTCTCCAGGCTGGTCTTGAACTGGGTTCAAGCAGTCCTCCTGCCTCACCCTCCCAGGTAGCTGGAATATCAAGTGCATGCCAGTGACCCGGCTCCTGATACTGTCATATGAAGAAAGCATTGGCTCTTGAAGTCAGACCCATCATCATTTACTGGCTGTGTGACTCCAAGCACACGCTGCCTCTCTGGGACTGCCGCCTCATCTCTGGAATGGGAGTAATACATGCCTACACATTTCTCAAGTATTTGAGAGCCAATGACAGGATAGGAGTTGAAGTGCTGTTGTAAACTGCACAGGGCAGTCCTGCTATAGGAGGGCATCTTTGTCATTAGCAGTGGCAGCAAGTTGGATTTGGCAGTTGTCTCAGAGAAGCTGTGAGGTGTTCCTGGACTATAAGGGAAAGCCCTCAGCAGATTTGCAAATTGACTCTTGGACTACTTTTCCTTAAGCTTTGAGCAAAGCAAAGCAGAGAAAAGCAGATGCTTTTGCACTTAAGCTAAAAGAGCCCAATGTATTAGTGTAAAGAGAGTGGTTGGATGTGGTAGGAAATGAGGCTAGAAAGCTAAGTTAGGGCCATACACGAAGGCCTGAATGCCCTGCTAAGGAGCGTAAACTTTATCCTGATTGTGGTGTACACCAGGGTTGATTTTTAAAAATTAAAAAGATTTTAAAAGATGTACAGAATAGGCCGGGTACAGTGGCTCATACCTATAATTCCAGCATTTTGGGAGGCTAAGGCATGAGGATCACCTGAGCTCAGAAGTTAGAGATCATCCTGAGAAACACAGCGAGATCCCGTCTCTATAGAAATCTTTTTTATGGTGTTGTGCACCTGTAGTCCTCGCTATTTGGGAGGCTGAGGCAGGAAGATTGCTTGAGCCCAGCATTTCAAGGCTGCAGTGAGCTATGATCACACCACTGCACTCCAGCCTAGGTGAGAGTGAGACCCCCTCCTCCCACTACCCAAAAAAATTACAGAGTAATGTAAAGATTTGAAGTGTACTGTTCAGTGGTGAGGCCTGAAGTAGGAGGAGGTGGATTAGAGGTTTAGGAGGTAGATTGGATGGGAGCTGGTGTAGTGTTGAGTGATGTGATAGGGGTGTCCAGCTAGTCTTAATGCTTTGGCTTGGTAGGCAGGAAGGAAAGGTTTTTCCAGATCTGATTGATACCTTTGGTGGTGTTTTGCTCTGGTCCCAAATCTCTCTTCTTCTAGTTTTTGGACACATTTTTAGCTGCTCATTTTCTCAGTTGTTAGCAAATTACCCAGAATTCTTTAAAGGCCTGAGTTCTGCCCTACCCCAGAGGAGAAATCTAAATAGAAAGCAGACCGATGCTTGGAGGAAACCCGTTTCATGCTTCTCAGAAAATGTAAATGCTGTTGGAAGTTACTACCTTTAAAATTATTACCATAGGCAAGAGCCTACCCAGGACTGGTTTCTGGCAACTTCAGACCCTAAACTGGGTGGAGCCACGAAATAGGCCCTCTGTCCCAAAGCAGGCCCACTGAGTAATACAACACCCCTATCCCTGGGAGGCCAAAGCCCTCCCTGCCTCTCTAGCCTGCCTGACTCCTTTTGCTTTGTGCCCTAGCCACAGCAAACATTCTGGTTACTTGCACCTCCTGGCTTTTGCTCCCCAACCCCCATCACCACCCCTTCCCCAAATTAAAGCCAAGTTCAGACATGGCATCTTCCAGGAAGCCTTTTTTGATTCCCTTCCTCATAGAGGGAATCGTGCCTCCTTGGGATAATGCTGCGCCTCACAAATGCTTCTGCAGTTGTGCCTTGCTGTCATTAATTGGTTCCTCATCTCCCTCCCCTCCAGGACTGAATTTGAGAACAAAGATGATGGTGTGTGGGTGTTGGTTTTTTAATCTCTGTGTTTTCAGCACAGGGCCTGGCTTACCACTGAATGTTGAATGAATGAATAAAACCATGCTTTATATTTTTATTTCATATTTAGCCACAGACATGCATGATGCCAGAGGACTGGCCTAAAGGTTCTGGCTAGGTTGTAAGGATGAGAATGTCATGCTAATTTGCCAGATTTATGAACAACCACATAACTGTGCTAAACTTGCATTTTCATGTTGACTCCCATCCAGAGGCTCACCTTGCATGTTGTTAGGAAGGTGCATGGATGGTTAAGATTGTAATTAAATTAACACCCTCTCTTTTGTTGTGTTCACGGCAGGTACTTTGTAAAAGCCCTGACACCAGCATTTTTGGTCTGTGTAGGATCCTCTCCTTTTTGCAAGAATTTTCTCCGGGGGAGAAAGGTGTACCAGATACGATGACTAAGCCAGGGCCCCTGGATCTCCTCCCTTACCCTCCTCTGCTGGGAACCTAGCACACCTGAATCAGCTGGACATACTGCTGGAGTCCAGTGCTTTCTTTCCGTCACCCTGGGGATAGTCCTTCCTGGCATCGTGGTGGGGGAGGAGCCTCTGGCTTCCCTAAACTGCAGCCTCTCTGGCTGGTCTTCACTTTCCTCAGTTGATATAAAACTCTGGGTCTTGGCCATGATGTCCTTGGACTCCATCGCTAAAGGGACCATCTGCTGCAGTTACCACAGCAACTGACCTGAGCGGCACCCTGGTCTGTGGAGATGGACTCAGGATCCAGTGACATGATTCTGAACTTTTGTGGAGTTTGACACCTTAGAGAAGCTACCCCTCAAACTGCACATCTACACACAAACAAACAATGCATAGGATTCCAAGGCTTTAAAGCTGAGAGACCCTGGCCTCAAGTTATTTCATGCGCACAGAGGGAAGCCATGTGGGGTTGCTGAAGATGCCTTGAGGTGAAATGGGGGCAGGAAAGCCACATCTTGCTCTGCATTTATAAAGACCGTACAAACTCAGATCCTTGGTACCCCTAAAAAGATTGCCAATTTTCTTCATCTTTGCCATATGGAGGACTGTGACAGACTTTGGACAGTGGCCTCTTGAGTTCCTCTGCAGTTTTGACATTTAGGATTTTGTGTCTTTTAAACTGGAAAATCTTCTAGCATGTTGGGTTGTTACAGAGTATATTTTTGTCTGCAGCTGTTTGTTGCCCCATTCCTAAGAGGAGTTTATCCATCCTGACTTGTAGCTGTGTGACTTCTTGCAGTGCCCCCACCCCATCCCCCCGGGAGAGTGTACTTCCCTGCTCCCAATGCAGAGGGATATGCACAGGCATGAGCTGTCCTGCGTCTGACAGAAGCCTGAAGAGTCATGTGTGGTTGGCCTGTGCTCTTCCCTCTGCTGTGAGAACACATTTCCCACAGAGGAGCCGTTCCATGGAGCCGAGCTACAGCAGCTGGCCTGCAGCCACTGAGTGTCACAGCAATGAGAGAGCAATGTTTGCTGTAGTAAGCAGTGAGATTTAGGGGTTGGTTGTTACTATAGCAGAGCTAATACATGAGTAAACTGAAGCCAGCTGCTGTCCTTAAAAGTGGACTAATTTGAGGCTGGGTGCGGTGGCTCACGCCTGTAATCCCGACACTTTGGGAGGCGGAGGTGGGTGGATCACCTGAGGTCAGGAGTTCGAGACCAGCCTGACCAACATAGCAAACCCCGTGTCTACTAAAAATACAAAAATTAGCCAGGCGTGGTGGTAGGCATCTGTAATCCCGGCTACTCGGGAGGCTGAGGCAGGAGAATCACTTGAACCCGGGGGGCGGAGGTTGCAGTGAGCCAAGATCGTGCCATTGCACTCCAGCCTGGGCAACAAGAGCAAAACTCTGTCTCAAACACAAACCAAAAAAAAAGTAGACTAATTTAGAGTTTTGTGTAGTGTGCCTCACTGTCTTTGAAAGGAAATTGGCTGTGGAATATTTACAAAGAACCATGCAGCTTCCAGGTGCCGGTCCCTGTCTGTGGCTTGTGGCTAGGAAGCTGAAGTTCAGCCTCCTTCCTACTCCTGGTTTTGGCCACTTAAGGACCTGAGGACCACTTGGGGGCCTGGTTTTGGTAACTTAAGGGCCTGAGGACCGGGAGGCTGATGGACATGAGGTCCTTTGTGCACTCTCTGCTGTTAGACCTAGGAGAGACTGAGAAAGTAATTTTAGGGATTGTTAGCACATAGGGATGGGAAAAGGAGAGAACTCTGCCCCTGCTGAGACCTGATCCTGTATTCAAGTACTATTAGCCACGCGGGAGCCTGGAGTCTTGACCCTGCCCTGAGCCATCATGTGGGCCACATGACGTTGCTTCTCTGTGAACCTCTGTCAGATGGAGGGGAATGAAGGCCTGAACGTTTGCTGTGTTCTTCCTGCAGCCCTTTTTCATCCCCATCCCTGACACGGGAAACAGAGCCTGGCCCCTTATGGCCAAAACCTAGTGGGCAGTCCTTGCAGACAAGCCAGAGGGGATGGGGCCCGGAACACCACTGTGTTGTGGACACGTAAGCTCCATGGTGTGTCTGCAGCTGGGGAGAAGCCTTTGTGGCTAGAAATGGGCCTACCGTGAACCCTAGGTCAATTGGGAAAGTGGATGTCAGCCTCCTCACTGACCTCAAGCAGACAGAAGCAGTTTACATGGCCCAGCTGTGTGGCCTGGAGCAAGCTCTGTCACATTATGCGCATCTACTTGCCGTGTGTTATAGAGAGGGTTGGAGAGAGCCCTAAGACCTCCTGCAGTTCTACATTCTGGGTTTAGGAACCTTGAATGTGGATTTGGGACCTGTTCAGCACAGGAGGCTTGCCAAGGGAGCCCCCTCCCCCAGCAGGGCCAGAGGCTCGCTTGGGAGAAAGCCACGTGGGACCAGAGTGTGGAGAGGAGCATGGCCAGGTAGTACAGGCTCAGGCCATTGCAGGTGCAGCCCAGGTTGCAGAGGTGAGAGGCGATGGTAGTGGGAGCTAGCTGCAGAGTTCCTGGTAGCAAGACTTGGTAACGAGTGTAGGACTTCCTGGAGAAGGGGCCGATGTTGTGGCCTAGGCCACAGCTCTATTCATTGAGATGCATGTCACCCATGATGTCCAATGTTATCTGCCCAAACCACTGGGCATTCAACATGGCCATGGCCACACACACACACACACACACACACACACACACACACACACACACAAGATGACCGGCAAAAGCATGACAGGAGAGAAAAGGTTAGGGCACGACCCTCCTGCTATGGTCTCCCACCATGACAGGCACCTCGGGTGAGTTTTGTAACCTCTCTGAGCCCCAGAATCTTTTGCCAAATGATGTTAATAATAGTAGCTGCACTCAGTATTACAGTGAAATGCTCCTGTCTGTCCTCCATCAGGAGGCAGTGGGAGCAGCAACTCAAGACACTGCATGTGAAAAGGCTTTGCCGCAGGCTGCAGGGCGTAATTTCTTAAGAATTACGGGTATTGGGAGTACAGGCACCAGATGCAGGCCTGGTCCTCAAGGAGCTCACAGTCTTGTGGGGCAAAGGGGTCCTGCGAGTGGACAAAGATGTCGGGAGCCACACCTGGGGAGGGCAGAGGGTCCTGTTTACGACCCCTGGAATCAAGGACACCTCCAGTCCATCGGGTACCAAGGGTACTCTAACTCTTGGGCAGAACTGCCTCGCCACCCACTGCTGTGGAGGTTGTTGGATATTTCCGGCCACACCAGGCTGGGGAGACCTACTTGCTTCTGTCATTTAGTCACAAGCCTCACTGAAGCTGGCTCTGGGTCAGCTCCCACCCTGGGCCCTGCCCTTGAGGAGCTCCCAGGCCATCAGGGAGAGTGATGTGGAAACCAACCAATATGAAATGAGGGTGCACAAAGAGGGCCCAAGCCCCCTTTAGCTGAGCAGAGGTAGGAGTGACTGATCCTGATGGGGTGTGGGGGAGCTTAGAAAAGGCTTCCCAGAGGTGACCTAAACTGGAGTTCAGGGATGAAGAGGCCCAAGCTGAGCATTCCTGGCAGAGGGCTCAGCATAGGCAAGGACATGGAAGCCTTTCCTTGACCCTCTGCCCTCCCCAGGTGTGGCTCCCGACATCTTTGTCCACTCGCAGGACTTCCTACCCCTTTGCCCCACCAGACTGTGAGCTCCTTGAGGACCAGGCCTGCATCTGGTGCCTGTACTCGCAATACCCCTCAGAGCCGAGCACACAGGTACTCCAAGAATGTGGTGGTGCCTCACTGGCATGTCTGAGGACTAGTGAGTGTGATAATGCTGGAGCAAAGAAGAGATGGGCCAGTGGCAGGAGGTGCAGCCTTCCTTGATCGTGGGCCCAGGTGTTTGTTCCATACACCCTGGGCAGCCATGGATGCGTTTGGCTCAGGGAGTGGTATGCCCAGAGGGGTTTTCCAAAGCTGTGGCAGCCAGAGTACAGGCAGGGCCAGGAGGGCAAAGGGCCTGCATACCAAAGTGGCCTCCTCGTCAAGCTCCCTTGGCTGGCACATGACAAAACACCAGGTTGTAGAAGGTGTAGGCAGAGCCGATGTGGAAGCAGAAGGGGAAGATCCTGCTCTGGATGGAGCCCAGAATTCGCCAAGGTAAGCTGCTTTCCCACAAAGGCCATGGGACATGGTGCGTGCAGTATCAGTGACTAGAAGTGACTGGTGGGCCCAGGGCCCCTCTTTACCCTCCCCGCAGGGCCCATCTACATCCAGGGTCTGTGGATGCTGATAGTCCAAGGCAGTTGGAACATAATAGTTAAGAGCACGAACTCTCAAACCCAAGGGCCAGGGTTCAAAGCCCAGTTCTGCCACTTAATAGCTGTGTGACTCTGGGCAAGTTTCATAACCACCTTGTGCCTCAGTTTCCTTATATATAAGGAAATTTAATAATATATTCTCAGGATTGTTTTGAGGATTAAATGGCTGGCACCTGGCACACAGTAGGTGCTTAGTAAGCATTGGTTGTTATGGGTATCAGGCACTCTATTGCAGGGGTCCCCAACCCCTGGGCCGTGGACTGGTAGCAGTTCATGTCCTGTTAGGAACCAGGCCGCACAGCAGTTGAGTGGTGGGCAGAAAAGCATTACCACCTGAGCTCCACCTCCTATCAGGTCAGTGGCGTCATTAAATTCTCATAGGAGTGTGACCCCTGTTGTGAACTGCACACACAAGGGATCTAGGTTGCACGCTCCTTATGAGAATCTAATGCCTGATGATCTGAGGTGAAACAGTTTCATCCCAAAACCACCTTCCTCCCCCATCCTGTGGAAAAATGGTCTTCCACCAAATTGATCCCTGGTGCCAAAAAGGTTGGGGACCGCTGCTCTATAGGACAACTCTTTGCCTAGGATGCTTCTCCCCTGACTTGACCCCAGATGAGGAACTGCCATGGCTCTAAGGCCCCATGAAGGGTGGGCCTCTCCACAAGTGGACTCAGCCCTCAGGAGTCATCTCTAGAAATCCTGGATTCCAGAGGCATAGCCAGACTGAAAAGGGTCCTGCCTCTTTATTTTTATTAAAAAAATTAAAAAAAATTTTTTTTGTAGTGATGGGGTCTTGCCTGTTGCCCAGGCTGGTCTCAAACTCCTAGCGTCAAGTGATCCTCCCACCTCAGCCTCCCAAGGCATTGAGGTTACAGGCGTGAGCCACTGACCTGTCCTTCCCTGTTTTAGAGTGTCCTGGATAGAAGGCAGGAGCCCTAGGACCTGCTGACAGGGCCAGCGCCCAGGGACTGCCTAATCCTAGCAAGTCCCTGCCCTCTCTGGGCCTTGGTTTTTCTATCTAAAAACTGGGAACAATATACTAGATCCTGTAAGGCTTATTATTCCTTTTAAACAGCATGTAGCATAAGTCCTCACCAGAAAAGTAGTGTTCTAGCCCACAGACAGCATGGGTTGTGGTTTTTTTTCCTTTCTTTCTATTCCTTTGCATGAGAGACAGCATGGTTCTTGATATCCAACAGATACCGGTTTGAACTCTGGCTCTGCTACATAAAGGCTGTGTGCATGTCACTTAATCACCCTGAGCCTCAGTTTGATCATCTGTAAATCTGGGCAAAAATACTGCCAAATATGGGGGGTTAGGGAGTGCTGCAATGCCTCCAGGCGGTGCAATATATTCAGTACCTTTACTTAATGCCTGGCATGCAATAAGTAGTGCTCAACAACCCTAGGAACCCAGCCAAAGTCATGGGCTGGACAAGTCCCTTCCCTGAGACATGCCTGAAAGAAATATCACCCAGATCTGCATGCCGCAGAAGATGGCAAGGAAAACCAGATGCAGGGTCTTGATGAGTTCTGCAGGCTCCCTGTCCAAGGACACCTGCCACCAGCAATCTCTCCATAGGTACTCCTGCTGCTTTAAAGGCCCAGAATGAGCCCTAGAGCTGAATCCTCAGCCAATGGGGTGAGGGGTTGCCTCTGCCACCTAACAGCAGTCCACCCACATACCCTGGCTCTGCCCAAACCTTGGCCTCTCCAGGCTTTCCCCCCAACTGCCCACATCAACCTGATTACAGTGCCTGCAACACACCAGATGCTTCATATGTCCATGCCTTTGCTCCAGTTCCCTCTACTTGGAATGTCCTTCCCCTGCCTGGTCTACCTGCCAAAAACCTACCTATTTTCAGAGAAGTCCAAAGGGTACCTTCACTAGGACGTTTCCCCTGCCTGCTGGTAGAGCTGGCCCTCCCTGATGGACATGCACACACTCCCATCGTCACCCTCCATCTGACCTGCCCCTGTAATACTGCATGGCACCCAGATGTCCAGGTGTCTGCCTCCCCTTACAGCAGGTGAGCGCTTAGTGGGCAGGGGCCAGATAGGGATTCATTTGAGTGCCCAGCGCCTGACACATGGTGGAAGCTCCATGCGTGTGAGTGTGCTGAGTGGATGGATGGATGAACCAACGAAGGAACTAACGAATGAAAGAGTAAAATAAGCCAGTGCCCTGTTCCCAGGCCCCCACTTGCACACACGAGCATCAGCAACAGCATTCCCAGGCTCAAGCCCAACGTGACCACCTTACATCTCCTCCAGGGAGACTCTTGGCCTCCCAGCCCATGGGCTCTGCCTTCTTTGGCCCCTGCTATCCATCTATTCTGGTTGCCAGGACTTTGGACCCAGCACAGACTGGGGAGCCCTGGGTGGGGGGGAGTTGAGGTGGTACAGCTGCACCTGGCATTCTGGTTCCTGCCCACAGAAAGTGCAGGGCTTCCCTCTGCCCTGAGCCCGCAGAGGGAAGGACTAGAACTGGGCCGGGCGGGAGCCCCAGCTGTGGCTGGCTTGAGCGCAGTGCAGGAGGGTCCTGTTGCTTACGGCAGGCACAGAGCCTAGGCCCTGCTGCGGCAGCAGCGTGTTTCCAGGAGCCAGGGTGAGCCAGGTGAAGGGCCCTGGGGGCTTCCCTTTCTCCGGGGGCTGGCAGAACAAGGAGCAAGGCCAATGCTCCCTGCAGGAGATGTGGGCCTCCCCCGCCACCGTGCCCACGCCTGGGACTCTGGCAGAGCCAACCTCCCCTGCCTCATCGATGAGAACCAGGCCAAGGCACCTGCACTCACATCAGCACACCTGACCACAGGGCAGAGCCTCCTGCACCCGCCATCCCTGGAGTGGAGTGCCACCCTTCCTTCTCAGGGCCAGGGGGTCGGTGATAGAGGTGGGACCACCTGACTTCTGTCTGGTTACCTCTATGGATTTGGGGTGGCAGCTGAAGAAGTGGGCATGGGGACAAAGCCCCCTGAAATACACTGCAGGCAGGCAAGGAAAGACGCTGTTGACATTGAATTCTGGTACCGTGCTAACCACTGTACCTGGATTCTCTTATTTAATCCCAACGGCCACCTTCTCAGGTCTGTTGTCCAATTTTATAAATAAGGACATGGAGGCACACAGTCATCCCACTAATGAGTGCCAAGCCAGGAACCGAACCCAAGCACCTCACTCACTGGTTCTCATCTCATCTCACCTCACTCCAGAGCCCGCCTTCCTCCTCTTGTGTTCCCTATTCCGTTTGCTTTACGAACATTTATGTGGCACCTGCCACGAGCAGAGCATCGAGGCTGAAGTGCATCAAACAGCCTCTGCCTTCAAGGTTATGCTGTTAAATGGATGCAATAAATCGAATGGTCTGGGAACTGCTCCAGTGAAGAGAAATACAGCCACAACAAGCAAGTCTGTCATCAGCCCTGCTCTGAGCCCCCAGTGACTCTCCCTTCCCTCATCAGTGCTCTTGGTGTGGCATTCAAGGCCGTTCAGGATCTGGGCCCTCACCACCTCTACAGCTCCCACTCTCTGACCTCCTTAGCCCAGCCATCCTGAATGGTTCAGCTATGGGGCAGGAGGGTGCAGTGGCTGAGTATTGATTGGCTGTGGAGCCAGGCGCCTGCATCCCAATTCCAGCCTCAAAGCTTACTAGCTGGAGGAGGCCTTGAGCACTTTGCTTAGGCTCTCTGTGCCTCAGTTTCCTCATCTGCAACATGAGCAGGATAACAGCACCTACCTCATGCAGGTGTTATGTGGATTAAATGCATTAATCCGCATGAAGCATGTGGAACACAGCTTGCCTCAAAGTACGTGTTCAATCTATGACATTGTTATTTTCTATTCCCTAACCTTGTCATGCTCCTCTGGGCTTTGGGCCTTTGTTCATCCTATTCTCTCTTCTGGGACCATTCTTCCTTCCACTTGTTCCCCTCCTTCCACCCCCAACTGTTCCTCCCTTCACTATTTAACACGTAGCCTTCAATCAGGCCCAACTGCCTCCTTCAGGAAGCCCTCTCTGTCTGCTTATCCCACATGTCCCCATGGCACCTGCACCACAGTGCATTGTTGTTTACTTGATGGTTCCCACTCTGTAAACTGAGTCAGGGACCCTGAGCTGTGCACTTTCTAATGCCAGGGGCTACTACTGCACCTGCTCAGCACATAGTAGATGCACAACAAATTATTACTAGCTGATGATATAGAGCAAGGAGTGATTAATTCTGAACAGATCAGGGATGGAAGCCACCACATATGATGGACTTGGGTCATGAAGTTGAAGAAGGAATTGGGGGGTGGGAGGGCCTTCTGGCATATTCCAGGGGTAGTGCCTGTGCTGGCCTGGCTCAGTAATAGCAGTGGCCACCTCTTGAGCACATAGGATATGCCAGGCAACATTCTTGGTGCTTTATTTGGATCGGTTCACTTAATCCTCTCAACACCTCTAGAAGGCAGGTAGCTTTATAGCCCCATTTTACTGACAGGAAAAGTGATGTGAAGAGGTTAAGTAACTTGTCCAAAGTCAGCTAGCTAATGAAAAGTAGAGCCAGAACTTGAATTCAGGCTCTTGAAAGTAAGCCCCTCAGGAGATATCGATATTAACGAGACCAGCCCTCTGCCTTTAAGGAGTCTGCGGTAGACCCAGCTGCCCTTGCCTTGCTCAGTCCAAGCTTACGGTAAAGTCTTAGCACTCACTGTGTCATGCAGTGTCCCCATCCTGTCTGCCCGGGTAGAAGAATTCAGTCTGTGGAAACCCCTGCCAGAGCCCACCGTCGAATCCCCATAGCACCCAATACCTTGCCAATGGGGCTCCCATCACCCTATAAGCTTTTCTTGGCAAGCCTTGGCAGCAAGTGCTGCCCTGGAAAACGGGCATCCTGAGTTACCATGAACTGGTGCCACCTTTTCACTCTCCTGGCCCTACACAGTTTTGATTAGCTAAGGGCACTTAAGCTTTAACCACAGGGGCTCATTAGCAGCCTTGGGCACTGCTGGCTTGACGGGAATCCCTGCACCGGGATGGTGCTTAAAGTTGCCACCCCGTTCTGCTGGCCATAGTGCACCACCCACCTACCTTCTGTGCAAAGTACCACTTAATATACAGGCAGCTCCACTTGCCAAGCCTCTGCTGTGGGCCAGGCACTGTTATCCCCATTTTGCAGATAAGAAAGCTGAAGTGGAGGGACTATGAGGAAGTACCTTGCACAAATGTCACGGAGATAGTGAGTGGCCCAGACAGTCTGACTCCAGAGTCTGTAGCTGGGGTCACTATAAGCCTTTTATTCTAATTTTATTTTTGAGACAGGGTCTCTCTCTGTTGCCCAGGTTGGAATACAGTAGCAGGATCTTGGCTCACTGCAACCTCTGCCCTGGGCTCAAGCCATCCTCCCACCTCAGCCTCCCAAACAGCTGGTACTACATGTGCCCGCCACCACGCCCAGCTAATTTTTGTATTTTTCGTAGACACGGGGTTTTGCCATGTGGCCCAGGCTGGTCTCAAACTCTAGGATTACAGGCGTGCGCCCAGCCTCATTATTTTAAATTAAGCAAAATACCTTGACTTTTTTCAGGTGTTACTTAAGTTTGCAATAACATCATAAAAATATTTTCCCATTTTCCACGTTATAAGGAAACTTAAAAATCCTTTTCCTAACTCTAAAACAAGCCTCACATGCCCTTGGATGCGTAACAACCCATTCTAAAAAGCACTCATGCATCTTGGTGTGGAAACGGATCATGGGAACTCTGGAGACCTGGCACTCAAGTAGTTAAGGAAATGACAATTTCAACAGATTTCTGCAAAGCTCCTTTATGGATAGCCCAGCAGGTGTTTCTTCCATTAAAACACAGAATATTAACGGAGGCCTTGATTTACATTCTAAGCCTGATTTACACAATGGTTTTGTTATGCACCAGCCTTTGTCCCCAAGTATTAATTCTGCTAAATATTTCCCAGGCAGTCACTGCTAGATCTCCCCAAGGAATGAGCAATGATAATACAGCCTGTACCTGCTATTTTGCCAGCATCCCATTTCATCAATTTATGGCAAGAGGTAAAATTGGCAAGTTCAGAAATGAGACAGTAAGGTACACAGTTTGAGTATTTCTGTCTTTTCTCTAAGGAGATACAGCTATTCTGCAGGTGCCTCCTAATTCTTGCCTGTGGCATTTCCCAGGAAAGTTGTCAAGCATCTTATCAAGAAAACAAGATCCAGGTCTTGAGATAACAAAGTTAACGGCAGAACCTGAGCTCCCAGTGGGGGGATTTCCTAAGTCGTCTGGTGTAAGGGAAGTGTCTCTGAGTGCAGACTAAGGGGTAATTAAGCATTTCATATAAGTGAGCTTGGTCAACCCCCAAACCACTTACAAGGTGGGTACCATTAGCACGAGTGTCCCACCAATGGAGAATCTGAGAGGCACACAGGGCAAGTAATTTGTCTGAGGTCACATCCCCAGTAAGTGAATCTAGGATTATGTCTCTTCAAGGCTCTGATCTTTTCGCCAAATCACACTGCCCCTGGCTACTAGAAGAAACACTGGCTTCCTGATCAGGACACTTGGGTTTCATTCAGCCTGACCTTGGGCAAATTGATGTCCTCCCTGTATTTCTCTCCCTATTGTAAAATAAAGAGAATGGGCACCTGTTTCACGAACTTACACAGCTTTGGCAGCTCAAAGGTTGATCCAGCCAGTCTTCTCTTCACTCAGCAGGACCAACCAGAGAGGAGTGGCGCCTGTCCTGTCCTCGGGTGTCTTGCGAGTCAGATGACATGTGGCAGGTTCATTCCTGCTCCAGGCCCACTTCCCAGCTGAGAGCCAAGGCCAGCTTCAAGTTTACCTAAACTCTAAAGCTCCAGGATTCTATATCATCCTCAAGTCAGTCTAGGCCTTGAACATTAATCAAAAGTAAAATTAACTGGCTCTCTATTCCTGGAATCTGGTTTTTAAAAGTGCTTACATTAGGCTAACCTCCCATAAACAAGCAAGCTTATGGGGCATATATTTAAAGTTAAAAAATTATTTGGCCAAAAAATAAAAATAAAAATTTTTTAGCCAAAGTGGCACACTACTTGGGAGGCTGAATTTGAAGGATTGCTTAAGCCCAGGGGTTAAGTCCAGCCTGAACAACACAGCAAGAACTCCGCCTCTCTTTATTTTTTGAGGCAGGGTCTGGCTCTGTCGCCCAGGCTGGAGTGGAGTGGTGCCATCTCAGCTCACTGCAACCTCCACCTCCTGGGCTCAAGCGATCCTCCCACCTCAGCCTCCCAAGTAGCTGGGACTACAGGTGTGTGCCACCATGCCCGGGTTATGTTGTCCAGGCTGGTCTTGAACTCTTGGGCTCAAGTGATCTGCCGGCCTCAGCCTCCCAAAGTGCTGGGATATCAGGCTTGAGCCACTGCTCCCAGGTAAAAACGCTGTCTCTTAAAAAATATATATACATTTAAAGCACCCATTTGCATGAATCCTAATTTCTCGCATACTTTAGGCTAACTTGGTTAGAGAGATATACATAATTTAGTTTTATTTATTGAAATCACTTTTGCAGAGGCTAAGCAGTGTAGTGAGAAGGACAGTTTTTGGCCAGTGCCTGCAATCTAGCTGTGATCATAATAGCTGTGCATCCTTGGGTAAGTTGCTGAAATAGATCCTCATGCTTCCTCATCTGTAAAATGAGATAACAGCATCTGCCTTGCACAATTGTGAAATCTGAAAATGGTATATAGAAGTGCCTAACAGTGGCCAGGTGCGGTGGCTCACACCTGTAATCCCAGCACTTTGGGAGGCCGAGGCAGGAGGATCGCTTGAAGTCAGGAGTTGGAGACCAGCCTGGGCAACAAAGTGAGCGAGAGCCTGTCTCTTAAAAAAAAAAAAAAAAAAATTAGCCACCATGGGTGGTGCACACCTGTAGTCCCAAGCTACTCAGGAGGCTGAGGCAGGATTGCTTGAGCCCAGGAGTTCGAAACCTGTTGCCTGAGCAACATAGCGAGGCCCCATCCCTAAAAAATAAAAGTAAATAAAAATTTTTTCTGATGCCTGCAGGCACCACCCCATATGGGTTTTCCAGCCCACTCCAGTGTGATCTGCACCCTGGCAGGGCCTCAAGGGCCAAGGCTGCCTTGCCCTTTGGGCTGGAGATGCTTTGCCAGACTAGCCTGAGGCCTTGTCTAGACAGGGCTGGGCTGTTTGTCGTTGGAAATTGAGGCTTGGCCAGAGGCGGGAGCCCCTACAGTGCCGTGATCAGGCTGAGGCTCACCACAACAGGAGAGATGAACCCGCATCTGCCTGCCGCCCCGCTATGCTCCCTCTCCCCCGACTGGCGTCACAGTGCCCCCACCCGCGTTGCTGCCTGTGGTGTGCGTGCCCTGGGGAACACAGCCCCCGAGGGCGGGGACCTTGCTGGGGGCCCCTCAGCTTCTTTCTGTGCCTCTGAATTGCCAATACTGTCCCTGCATCTCTGAGTCTACGTGCATGCTTGCCCCCGGCGTGCCACCTGTGCGGAGCGCGTGAACCTGGTGTGTGCGTGCTGTGTGTGTGTGCGTGCGAGAGAGGGTGTGAGAGTGAGTGGCGTGCTGGGCATGAAGGATCTGTGGGGTGCTGCAGTTCCTGCAGAATGGCCCAGTGGCGAATGGTGAAGGTGTGGGTTTCAGTCCAGGCCCTCCCCCGGTAGTCAGGAGGTGCTGGTGTCCACCTCCAGGGCCCCCAAGCTACAGGGGGCACACGGACCCATCCGGTGGGTCAGGACCTGCAGGGGACCCGGAGGCTCCCACCCTCACCTCTCAGGACTCTGCCTCCACCACCCCTGTGGGCATGCACTGAAGGGTTGCCCGCAGGGTCTCCAGGCGAGGGGGACCCCACAGGGTGGGCAGCACCTTCTCCCGGCTTCCCCACAGTCCCCTGCAGCGTCCCGTCTGGCTGTTGAGCTACATGCAGTCGGGCACACCTCACACTACAAGGCTACCCCTGGGCCCATCCCTGCCCCTTCCACGGCCCCCACCTGTGGTCAGGGGTTGCCACCCCCTCAGGACCTGGTCTCGAGGCAGCCCCACTCGAGTCTTCTGGAGTCCGAGGCACGCCACTAGCCCAAAAGGGAGGGGGTGTTTGAGGGGGGCTCTGTCTCCAGACCTCAGGGAAGCTGGGCAGGCTCTAGCCAGTGGTCCTCCAGAGAGCAGCGTTGACCACCTGGACCCCTGCGCCGAGCGACAGAAGGCCCTGGTCCTGCAGGCCTGGTCTTGCCCAGCTGGGCCGCCTCAGGTGTCAGGAAGGGGATGGGTGTCCCTGGCTCCCAGGCCAGGCAGCTGCTGACCTCCAGCCCCCCACACTTGCTCACGAGGACCCCACCCCCGCAGGCCCTCCCGGGTCCTGACCAGCCTCTGATGCAGCATCTGCTTTGGCCTCTAGGCCCCCTCGCTCCCCACCCACCCCAGCCCCTTCCTCCGGTACTCACCTGGGGCCTCCATCCCAGAAGCGCAGGGCTTATTTTTCTGATTAAAGAAAACAAAAAGTGCCGTGCCACTATTTAAAAAAATTTTTTTTTAAAGTGCCTCACACCACAGTGGCATATGGCAGATCCTCAACAAATAAATGGCCAGCCCATTAAAAGCAGAGTGCGCACATCAGTCTGATAATGAACAACTGAAATTACTAAAAGAAATGCCCAGCTACAAAGTGGACCCAGAGGAGGCAGCTCTTGCACCAGGTGCTCTCAATTGACTTTGACTGCACATTACAATCAGCTGGGAAGCTTTAAACTTCCCAATGCCCAGGCCACACCCTACATGTAACCAGACCCTCTGGATGGGACCCAGGTGATTCCAATGTGCAAGGGTAAGATCCTCTGCCTTGTAATCTAGCCTTACTAGGTTTGCTCTCAGAATGCATGTCTCCTAGCCTGAAAATCTGAAGTATTCCAAAGGAATCCTGGGCCTGGAGCTCCAATGGCAGGGCTGGGAGCTGGTAGGGCTTGGCTACGCATTCATTAGAAAACCTGATGCTGTCCGGGCATGGTGGCTCAAGCCTGTAATCCCACCACTTTGGGAGGCCTAGGCAGGCAGATCACCTGAGGTCGGGAGTTGGAGACCAGCCTGACCAACACGGAGAAACCCTGTCTCTACTAAAAATACAAAATTAGCCAGGTGTGGTGGCGCATGCCTGTAATCCCAGCTACTCGGGAGGCTGAGGCAGGAGTATCGCTTGAACCTGGGAGGCAGAGGTTGTGGTGAGCCGAGACTGCGCCATTGCACTCCAGCCTGGGCAACAAGAGCAAAACTCTGTCTCAAAAAACAAAAACAAAAACAAAAACAGGAAGCCTGATGCTATGTAGAGGCAGGCAGGGTTGCTCTACCAGTAATAAGCTACCTGGAGGCTGTTTAGCAGGTGGAACCACTGGCCAAAATAAGAACTGCAGTGCACTGGGAATTAGCTCAGGGGCCTGGCCTCAGGGAGCTCACCATCAACAAGAGGCAGGACCACTGTACAATGAGCTGTGTATGCACAAAACAAGAAGGGATGTGATCTGTGCTGTGGGAGGCAGAAGGAAAACCACTATTCAGAGCTGCCAGGCAGCTTTTTAGGAGATGCTGGCTTTGAGCTTGGTCTTCACAGATTCTTGTCAGATATGGACATGCAGAGACCCTAGGGGGCCAAGGATGGAAAACTTGGTTATGTTCCTTATCTAAGATGCAGGAGCAATGAAAGTAGTTGGCATTGCTAGGGTAGTTCAAGCTTGCTCCATCTTTCCATACAATTCAGGCAGAGAGTAGCTTTTTTTTTTCTTTAAAACCAGCTTCTACATTAAGGACACAAGAGACCAGCTCTTAATATTCACCCCATCTTGGCTCTAGGATCCAACTCTGTACCTACGATAAGGTCACCGTGGCAGTTGAAGCCTGCTGCCCCGATACTTGGGGGAAGAAATGGTTTAAACCACATTTTCCTAACCACCTGATTTTTTATGTTAGGGATGGGTGTGTGGGAACAGTCAAAAAGGAAAGAAAAGGAGTAGAAAGCTGTTGCACTGTTAAAATGGCAGATGTTATCATTGTTTCAAATTAATGTGCAAGGCCCATTCCAATAGTTTGACTTTATTAAATCAATAGAACGGGATCTCAGTGGTTAAGCCGTCTTAACAGGGCCAGGTCTCTTGAGGTAGTTTTTGGGCCATCAGTTAATTACATCGACTTTCCAGGAAACAGACTATGGAGAATGAGAGGAATCAGACTGCCTGTCACACACCTCTCATGGAACCCCCTAGTGACACCTATAAGGACGTTACAGATCTAGTTCCAGACTTTACAGATCTAGTTCTATTTTCTCAAGTTACAGATGGGGAAACTGAGGCCCCAGCAGGGGGAGGGGATGTATCTAAGTCACTAGTGAGTTGGCGGCAGTCAGGTCTCTTGATTCTTTTCCCCATACTCTCAGCCCAACTTCTCAGTGGAGAGGGGCTGGCAGGCCTGCTCTCTGGATAGAATGTAGCAAAAGGCCCGTGGTCAAACTGATACGGGGTGGGGAAGGTTGGTGGGCTCTCAGCCATCAGCCATTCTCATCTTACACGTGAAAAACTCAGCTGAGAGAAGGGAAGTGACTTCCCCCCTCAGGGTAACACCCAGGACTGGAGCTTGGATCTCCTGCTTCTCAGCCTCCTAGAAGCTTCCACAATGGAATACAAAAGGAAAGGTATATGGCGGCATGGCCAGTCTGGAGAAAGGGATCAAGTTAATGACTTTAAATACAAATAATCTGAACAAATGACTAGATAAAAATTGATTTCCCTAACATGATCTCACCCTCCATGAGCTGTGCTGTTTCTGGAGAGAGCAGTCCAGGAAAGGGGTGTAGGAAAATGCAGTGTTAGAACGAACACCAAGGCTGCAAATGGGGGCAGGGGTGGGCTGGGGGCATTTAGACAGTCTGCACTGGGGTCAGTAAATCCATGACTCCATCTTTGGTGAGGAAGGCCACCTCACCAGTGTTCTGACACCAAACCTCAAAATGTGCAGGGTCCTCCAGGGCCCTCTTGCCAGCGATTATCACAAAGGGGTAGCCAAACTTGTTGGCATCTTTCAGTCTGTTTCCGATGGTCAGATGGGTCCTGTCGTCCAGGAGCACCTCCCCGTGAAGCTGAGGCACTGCCTCTGTGATGTGGTCGTACAGCTGCCCTATGAGCTCGGAGGCCGCCTGCTCCTTACTGCCCTTCTTAGGGGGGATGAGGCAGGCTTGGTAAGGGGCCAGTAGGCTGGGCCAGCGGACACAGTCTTCTGTAGAGAGGACTTCAATGGCAGCAGCCAAGATCCGTGTCACACCCAAGCCATAGCACCCCATTTCAGCCAGGGTTGGTTTGCCACAGACATTGGTAAACTGGGCATTGAAAATGGATGAGTACTTGGTACCCAGGTAAAATGTGTGCCCCACCTCAATGCCTTTGGTTTTAGTCAATGGGCCCTGGCAAGCAGGGCAGTTCATTTGTGACAAGTCTAGTGTCTCCATGTTGGCTGAGAAGCTGCAGCGGGGACAGATGGCAAGCCGGTCCTCTCCAATATCCACTGGGAGCTGGAACTCATGAGACACTGTGCCCCCGATGGTGCCCACATCGGCCTGGACCTTGACAAATGGCAGCCCTAGCTTGTTGAACAGGCTGCAGTAGGCATCACACACCAGGCTGTAGGTCTGCTGGGCAGCCTCTGGGGAGGAGTCAAAGGTGTACATATCCTTCATGTAAAACTCTCGGCCACGGAGAAGACCAAAGCGGGGCCTGGGCTCATCCCGAAACTTCCTTGTCACTTGGTACAGCAGGAAGGGAAGCTGCTTGTAGGACAGTTTCTTCTGGGAGGCAATTAAGGCCGTAATGGCTTCCTCGTGAGTTGGTCCTAAGCAGTATTCCTTGCCATGCCTGTCTCTAAGTCTTAGCAGCTCTTTGCCCATCAAGTCCCACCGGTTGGTGGCTTGCCAGAGCTCTGCCGGGCTGAGGCTGGGCATGTTGACTTTCTGGCCCCCGATGGCCTGCATCTCCTGGTCTATCACTCGCACGAGCTTCTCCATGGCACGGACGGTATATGGCAGGAGGTGGTAACAGCCGGGGCTTGCTGGGTAGATCAGGCCCACCTGCAGCATCAGCCGCTGGCTCTTACAGGTCAGGTCATCAGATTTGTCCTGCAGGGAGAGCACCCGGTCTTCCCGAAGGTTCTGTGGCTGGAACACACGAGACAGCAGCAGGCGCCGCCCTCTTCTTGGGGCACAGTGGTGAAACCTGCAAGGAACATACCCAGAGAGCTGGCGGCTGCAGGTGGCCAGGGCGGGCAATGCTCTGCATCTTGTCAGCAGCCCTTCCATGACACCCTGGCACCGGGAAGCACAGGCACCTGAGGAAAAATGAGTTGTGTGAGAATGAGCCTCATCCGTGTTCCAACACCATGAAGCAGCCAACCCAGCCTGCTCTCAACAAACTTCGAAGGCAGCCACTGATTTTGCAGATACAAATCCTTCCATTTCTAATATCCTAGCAGATCAAAGCACTATTTCTCTAACCTCTTACTTCCGTTTTTGAAAAATCAATATTTTCCTGATTATAAAAACATTAACAACATCCTGTGGAGAGACAGCGTCATGTAGTGAGTGCACAGGCTCTGGAATCAGGCAGCCTGGATTCCAGTCAGGCCTCCCAATGGCTGCACCCTGTGTAGCTGGGGACATGTGTCTTAACCCCTCTGTGCTGTTTCTTCATCTGTAAAATGGTAATAACAACAGAACCTACCTTCTAGGCTTATTGTGGACACTTAGAAGAGTTATAAAAGTTCTTGGAACAGTATCTGGCATGTACTATGAGCTCAACTAATGTCTGCTATTATTATTATAGAAAACTAGGGGGGAAATCTGAAAACAAAAAAGAAAAGAAGGCTGGGCATGGTGGCTTATGTCTGTGATTCCAGCATTTTGGGAGGCCAAGATGGGCAGATCACCTGAGGTCAGGAGTTTGAGACCAGCCTGACCAACATGGCGAAACCCTGTCTCTACTAAAAACACAAAAATTAGCTGGGCATGGTGACACGCCTGTAATCCCAGCTACTTGGGAGGCTGAGGCAGGAGAATCACTTGAACCTGGGAGGTGGAGGTTGCAGTGAGCTGAGACTACGCCACTGCATTCCAGCCTGGGTAACACAGTGAGACTCTGTCTCAAAGAAAAAAAAAAAGGAAAAGAAAATCAACTGTAATCCCTCAGCCTGGAGTCAACTGCAGCTGACGTTTTGTTGCCATCTGTCTCTTGCAAACCCTGTCCTTTGCACATCCCTCTCTTGTTCCTCTACCTGCCCCCAATATTTAAATGTCATGGGCCTCTTCCCTCTTTACAGCACACACTCCCTGGACAGCCTGCATGCTGAGAGCTGACTCAAAATCTCCACCTGCCTCCTGGAGAATACATCAGGTAGGTACTTCAAAACTCTGTGTCCCAGAATGAACTCAGCATTCTCCCCGCAAACCTACTCCCCCTCCAGCACTGCCTGTCATTGTGAATAGCACCAAAAGTTGCACTTTGCCCAAACCAGAATGTGGGGTTCGCCTGCTCTGCTCCTCTCTGTGTCCCACGTTCACAGCCCTCTTGGCCCTGTCATTCCTACCTCTTCACTTGCTGTTCAATCTGTCCCTCTTCTCTCTACAGCCTCCGCCCAGGTCCAGGCCACCCTCATCTCTCACCTGGATGGTTGCAACAGCCTCCCCACTGGTCTCCTGACTTCCACTCCTGCCCTCCTTCAATCCATTCTCTATACTGCAGCCACAGGGGAGACTTCCCAAGCACAGATGCTAACAGCTTTTCTTGGTTATAACGGCCTCCTGCTACCCTTAGAATAAGGTCTAAGCTTCTGACTTTCAGGGTGTGCACAGCCCCACATAAGCTGACCCCCTTGGGCCTCATCTCACCACTGCCCCCTCTCTGATCAGGCTTTGCCACGCCCACTCTTTTTTTTTTTTGAGACGGAGTCTCGCTCTGTCACCCAGGCTGGAATGTAGTGGCGCGATCTGGGCTCACTGCAAGCTCTGCCTCCCGGGTTCACGCCATTCTCCTGCCTCAGCCTCCCGAGTAACTGGGACTACAGGCACCCGCCACCATGCCCGCTAATTTTTTTGTATCTTTAGTAGAGACGGGGTTTCACCGTGTTAGCCAGGATGGTCTCGACCTCCTGACCTCGTGATCCAACTGCCTCGGCCTCCCAAAGTGCTGGGATTACAGGTGTGAGCCACTGCGCCCGGCCCCATGCCCATTCTTAAACATACTGTCCCTTTTGCACAGAACACCCCTCTCCCCTTTTCCTGCCAACATCTAGCCGTCCTCTAGGCCTCAGGATTACCATCCTCTCCCCAGGAAGCCTTTCTTGTCCCACTCCCCATACCCCCAAAGGGCTGGCTTTTCCCGCATAGCCCACTTGTCTCCTAGGGTTCCTGCCCATTTGGCTGTCTGTCTTCTCCCTGACACTTGGCTCAGTGCAAGCAAGGACCTGTCTAGCTTGCTCACCACTGTATCTTCAGCACATGACAGGGGCTTACTAGACATTGTCCAATAGGCAAGTATGTTTCTCTGATTTTACAAAATAATCACACATTTCTAATGGCAGTACGACATTCCACTGATTACATCAAAAATCAGTAGTTGGTTTTCTCTGTTATACATAATCTACAATGAAGAGAAGGCTTTTTTTGTTATATATTTGGGAGAGGCGTTGAAGAATGGAATTACTGAATCAAAGGCTATAAATTCTTTTGAGACTTTTTATTTGTATTGCCAAATTTAGTGAGTACCTCTACTTTTCAGCACAGTCCATGCAACAAAGCTCCCGGCAGTATGCTGGGTATGGGTTGCTGATTCCCCTCAGCTCTAGGGAGCTGGGATCTCCCAGCTGGTTACCTCTAGCAGCCTCAGGTCCTCCAGCTTGTCCCCTCCAACCTCAAGCAGCCTCATTCATTTCCCCTGTGCACTGTACAAATGTTTAAAGGTGGTCAGGCACTGCCACAGAGCCCTAGTGTGGTGTTGTAGGAACGTACGGGCCATGGAGGCAAGGCACATGTGGATTCACCCCTGGCTCTATAACTTCCTTGTGATCCAACCTTACTTAGGGCAGTGGCTCCAGCCAGAAACTCATCCTTGATTCCTCCTAAAGCAAATGAGTCTGTCTCAAGGTTTCCCTTAAGTCCACCCCCTCCTTTCTGGCCCTTACTGCCTCAACATTAGGTTAGCCCCTCAATACCACTTGCTACATTACAGTTACCCAGTGGTTCTGAAATCTAATTGAGCATCAGAATCGCTGGAGGGCTTGTTTTTTTTTTTTTTTTTTTAGAGACAGAGTTCACTCTATCACCCAGGCTGGAGTGCAGTGGTGCAATGTCAGATCACTGCAACCTCCGTACCCCCAGCCTCAAGAGATTCTCTTGCCTCAGCCTCCTGAGTAGCTGGAATTACAGGCATGTGCCACCATGCCCAACTATTTTTCATATTTTTAGTACAGACAGAGTTTCACCATGTTGGCCAGGCTGGTCTCAAACTCCTTGACCTCAAGTGATCAGCCCGCCACGGCCTCCCAAAGTGCTGGGATTACAGGCGTGAGCCACCATGCCCGGTTGGGTTTGTTAAAACAGTGATTGCAGAGGCCCATCTCCAGAGCTTCTCATTTAGTAAGTTTGGGGTGTGGGCAGAGAACCTGTATTTCTAACAAGTTCCCAGGTGACACAGATGCTGCTGGTCCAGGGACCCCACTGGGAGAACCACTGCAGGGGTCTAGCTGTGTACCACCAATGACTAATGTCTTAAACTCCATGAAGACGACAGCTATGTCTATTTTATTCCAAGTTTTATCTGCAGCATTCAGCACAGTGCCTGGACACAGTGGACACTCAATAACATGTTCCTTTTTTTCTTTCTTAAAAAATAGAGATGGAGTCTTGCTATGTTGCCCAGGCTGGTCTTGAACTCCTGGCCTCATGCGATCCACCTGCCTCAGCTTCCCAAATTGCTGGGATTATAGGTGTGAGCCACTGTGCCCAGGCTCAATACATGTTCTATCAATGAATGAATGGAGTAATTCTTGAACCCTGTCAGTCCAGTCTCCGTATTAGTCTCCAGCTAAAAAGATAGCTGACCCAATCACTCCCCTGTTTACAATCCATTAACGGCTGGCTCTCATAATTTTCTCAGAATGGCACCAAAGCTCTTCACATTTTGATCCCAACACACCTCTTCCAGCTTCTTATCCTAGCATTCCCCAAGTTGCTCATTATTCTTGAAACAGACTGACCTCCCCCCAACCCCCAGCAATTCCAACTGGAATTCAAGGTTCACTTACTCCAAGAAACTTTCTCCAACCCCTCTAAACAGAGAAAGTCACCTCCTCTGTGCTCCACTGCACACACCTCTTTTTAGTATACTGTATTAGAATCATCTCCAAAAATATTTTTGAGGAACTATTGTGTGCCAGGCATTGGAAGCGAATGGTGTTTCACATACAATTTTTTTTCTTTCTGGGGGTGTGTACGGGGGCCAGGAGGGGAGGTCAGTGTCGATGTTTAACATTCTATTCCTTGATGAAATTACAAGTTTATGAAGTTTTATACATCTTTAAATTTCAGAGTCTCGCATAATGCCTACTATTTAGGCTATTATTATCTGTTGATCAAATATGTTAATAAATTAAGAGCAAAGCAAACAGGTGCAATGATATAATTATCTGGATAATTTAAACGAGAGCTTTAAACTCTTCTCCTCCACGTTTAGCATGTCTGTCCTCAGACCCCTCAGCTTATACAAACAGGAGAATAAGTAGAATTATCTCAGTTTTTCAGGAGCAATACAGTAACTAACGTATGCAACACTTCAGGCTCTGGCAAACAGCCTCTGAGACATTCAGTCGATTTTTTTGAGTACCTACTCTGTCGGGACACTGTCAGCCCTTCCAGCCCAGGCCTTTTTAAAGATTCTTTGACTCACCATTGCCCCCCAATCTAATCAGAAAAGTTGTACCTAAAGCGTTTACAACCGTACCTGATACATAATATTAAGTCTCACAAAGTGCTATTATTATTATTATTATGCCCAACTCAGAAAAGGGAGGCTCTGAAATATAAAGTCACTTGTGTCAAGCCACACAGCAAATAAGCGCAGGGTCGGGCCTGGAAGGCAAGGTCCCCGCCTCCAAATCCTACAGTTTCCATCACGAACTGTGCTACATTAAACAGCAATGGAACCCTAGGCCTAGTTCTAAGAACAAGCTCGGCCTTCACTCGCTCGGTGACCCTGGACCACTCACTTCGCCCCGGACCTCCGTTTTCTCCAACATAAAACGGGAAGGCTGGCTCAGGCAGCAGGTGGTCCCAGGGCCTTTCCAGAGCTGGCACTTCGAGAACTGTGTGACTCTCACGACGACCGAGGGAGAGACCAGGAAGTGCTGCCCTCATTTTACAACGGAGGACACGGAGACCAGGAGTATCGAAAAGTTTATGGGATTCTCGCCCGCCCCAACTCAAGGACGGGATGCAAGTGGGAAAACGGACACCAGGGTCCTAGGTCTCCGCGCCCACACCGCGTGCTCGCTTCATTTCGCTGCCCGCGCCCGTCCCTCAGGTCTGGGAGTCACCCACGTTCACCTACCGCAATCCCAGCCCACGCCTCCCGCAAGACCACCGCCGTGCCGGGCCAGCGCGCTTGCGCCTCGAGCAAGCCCGCTCCTAAGCCCCGCCTCCTGCCCTTTTCGCCAATTGCAAAGCCGCGCTCACGGAGGCGGGGCCGAGGGCAGGGGCGCTCTGGCCCCGCCCCACGCTAGGCGCGCGTGAGAGGTTTTCCGGAAGTGTAGCCAAAGAGCGAGTACCCGGCTTTCCCCAAGATCGTTGATTGGCCAGGGCAGCCTTGAGTAAATCACCGTTCCGGAAGTACTTTCTAGGAACTTGGGAGGTATAACTCTATGATGACTTGAGGGTGCTCTTCCTGCCCCTGCCAGGCCCCGCCCACTCCCCCAATAGGAGAACCACTGGCGACAGTGTAACCATGACGACACACTGGGCAGTGTAGTTTCTAATCTATCCTATGATTTTTACGGGCTTTCCATTTAAATAGTATAAAATTGTGAAACAGTTTGAGAAAGACGCCTTTATTACAGTGCCCAAGACAGTCTTTAAGACACAGATTCAAACTTCCATTCACAAAATATTTTTTGAGCTGCTACCACGTAGAAGCCACTGCTGTAGACACTGGGGACAGTGAAGTGAACCAAACAGACAAAATTAACTGCGTTCAGTGTAGCTTGTGTTCTAGAGAGGACACAGTCAATAAACCAATAGAGCGAAATTTAAGCAGGGCAGGGAATGGGAGCAAAGAACTCAGTAACCAAGATAAACAGTATTTTAATACAATTGTTTTTTTAAAAAAACAAAATGCAAAAAATCCATGGCAAACAAAATATCAAAATTTAAAAGAATCTGTCAGTCAGATGGTGATAAGGGCTATAAAGAAAAAATTAGAGAAGGAGAATGGAGTGGGGGAGTTAAGTGTTTGCAATTTTTTTCTTTGTTTTTTTGAGACGGAGTTTTGCTCTTGTCGCCCAGGCTGGAGTACAATGGCGCGTTCTCGGCTCACTGCAACCTCCTTCTCCCGGGTTTAAGCAATTCTTCTGCCTCAACCTCCCGAGTAGCTGGGATTACAGGTGCCCACCACGTCCGACTACTTTTTGTATTTTTAGTAGAGATGGGGTTTCACCATATTGGCTAGGCTAGTCTTGAACTCCTGACCTCAGGTGGTGATACACCCACCTCGGCCTCCCAAACTGTTGGGATTATAGGTGTGAGCCACCGCGCCCAGCCAAGTGTTTGCAATTTAAAATAGGAGGATCAGGAAAAACCTCATCAAGTAGGTGGCGTTTTTAGCAAAGACCAGAAGGGGGTGAGAGACAGAGCCTTGCAGGGGAAGAAATTTCCAGACACAGGAAACAAGAAATGCAAATGTCCTGAAGTGGGAACTGCATGTTATATAACTCAACCTGATAACAACTACAGTTATTGAATGCCTAAAACATACCAGACCCAATGCAAGACACTGGTGATTCCGATACTGGCCCCAAGAAGCTCTCAGTACGACAGGATCTTCCAGGAACAACTCCGTGTGATCAGTGGTGTGATAGGGGCTGAGCAAACCCCTGCGGGAGCGTGGGAAAAGAAGGCTTCACTGAGGAGGTTACCTTTGAGCTGGACCTGAAGGATGAATGGGGTCTACCCAGACAAGAATGGCAGTGGGAGTGGAGTGCCAATGTTCAGGCAGAGGGACCAGGACATTCAAAGGCACAGCTCAGGAAATGATGAGCCAGTGTGAGGGAAGCATGGGGTGTGGTGTGGTTTACATCTTTATTTCTCCCAGCTCCTCACACAGAGCTTGGCACACAGGCCAGAGCAGTGATTCTCAACCTTGACTGCATTAGAGTCATTATATGCACCCACTGCCACCCTCTGTCCCAAGATGCTGGTTGTGCAGACATTATTATTTTATAGTTCCCCAGGAAATTCTAATGTGCACCGGGGTTAGATCTGCAGCCCTAGAGGAAAGGCACTGGACAACCTAGTGGTGGAGGCGGCAGGGGTAGATGCCATGTTATTATCCTGGTCTTACAGTTGAAGAAAACACAGCTTGGGTGGAGCACACGACTGCATTTGCCTACCAGCTAGGAGGCCAGGCAGGGCTGGGGTGGACCTGAGCTCTTTTGTCTCTAAGAGCCTTGCTCAGCCTTTATAGCCCAGAGCTGTGGTAGAGGCTTTCCCCAAGGAGTGCAGTCCCAGAGGTTTCGCTGGACTGATATTTCTCACTCCTCCTCTTTGGGGGCAGGGGGCAAATAAACTTCAGAATTTCTTGGATCTACATATCCAAAGTAGCCTTTAATTTCTCCCTGTTCCTGTGCACGTTGTTACATCCCTTCCGATCCTGGAAAAGCCAGGCAGCTGTCCTCAGCACCCTGAGGTGTTAATTATTTCTCAATTAGCAGTCCCTAGGCTGTAGAGCATAGTGGTGTGGAGAGGCCTAATGACTTGCCGTGTTTATACACCCCCACATCTTCAGAGCACTTTACCAATGGTAACTAATTAATGCTCACAACCCCCTTGGGAGGCAGGCCAAGAATGCTGCATTTTACTGTGAGATTGCAGGAGGCTCTGTAGCTCCAGGCTGCAGAGTCCTATCAAGACAGTCACAGAGTAGATTTGCTCCCCATTGAGAGAGTCCAGGGTGGTGGAGATCCCAAGGTCGTGGAAACCCAGAATCTAGCCCTGTTGCTGCTAGTGACTTCCTGTGCGATATTTCAGTCAATCAATTGATCAGAATTTATTGAATGACTTAGTTTACAGAGCTTATTCATGGTTAAAGCCCCATGACGCACCACTCCACCCCCTGCAATAAAAACAAAAACAAAAAAACCCACACAGAAAAAAATCTATTCATTCCCTCATTTATTAATTGGTTATCACAAAGAAATAAAGCAAGAAGAGGACTCCACACCTGCCTTGGTGCCCCACAGCTCTGGGGACACACCACGCACTTAGCAATTTCCCTTAGCCAGAATAGGATCTCCTTGAGGGCAAGAAAAGGTTTTGCTTTTTTCTCTATCCTCATCCCTGAGCAGAGGGCCTGGCCCGGTGTTGGGGCTTATCACAGGGTTTTGCTTTTTGGTTTATGTGTTGTTTTAATATAGCAATCAATAAATGAATGGATGGTTTGTCTTCCCTCAGATCATGGGCTCCTCTGAGGACACACTGAATCGTCCTTGCATCCAGAGCCCCTTGCCTGGCATCAGGAGGGGCTCTGAATGTGTGTTGAATAAGCAAATGAAGGCAGAGTTAATGATGAACTCCCCAACCTCATGAGCTCACGGCCTCCTGGAGAGGCTGCCTTTGAAAGCGGTGACACAGTGCCCTGTGGTAAGAAGCTGTGAGGAGGGAAGTGCAAGGTGCCGAGCGAACACACTGCAGATTGGGGGGTTGGGAAAGGACGTGACATTCAGCCATGAGGTGGGATCAGGGAGGGCTTCTCAGAGGAGGGGTACTTGGAATTGACCTTAAGGAATACATAGGAGCTTCCCAAGCCAAAAATGGGATGGAAAGACATTCTGGTCAGAGAGGCAATAAATTGCTTCTGATAAGGAAGATGGCTAGAGATAGTTCTGGCTGGAGCATAGAGCACCCCCAGGTGTCATGGACACACAACTGGACAGCCATCAGAAGCCAGGTGCAGCAGGGTCTGCTGGACAAATCTCTGAGTTTATCTCCATCTTTGTGGCCATTGAAACCTTTCTGATGAGGAACGATACTCCTCTCTGCCCCTCTCTTCCCCCCAACACACACAAACTCCTGCTCTGAGCACAATCCCTGGACACTTTGCGTCCCACTCTGTAGCATGGACTTGTCGTAACTTGAAAGTATAATTGGCACCACAGGGAGGCAGCCTTCTCCTCTGCTGCATGCCCCTAGGCAGACACTGCTCATGTGAGAAGCAGGCCTGTGGGCAAAAGAGGGTTCTACACCAGGAGAGGACTGGTCCACTGTGTTTCTTTGTCTGAAGTGAGAGCTCAGATTGGAGGAGGAGGATGGCGAGAGAGGCCGGAAAGGAGACTCCTATAATAGCCCAGACTAGGGCAGTGGGTGGGAGAGGAAGAGACAGATTCCAGAGACATCTGTCCAGAGACAGTCCACCTGGTGGACTCCTGAGCCCACCCCTGCACCCTTAGCCCAGCTCAGCCCAGACAGGCTGGACTGTGAGGGTGGCTTTGCAGTCAGGAAGGCCTTGACTAGGAATCTGCCCAGGCTCTTCTCAGCTACATGACCTTGGTGAGTTACTTATACATTTCTTTATCCATAAGACAGAAATCATAATAGCATCCCATGGGGCTGTTATGAAGGGACACTGAGCAATGTCATCGAAAGCTTCCAGCCCATCCCTCAACACTTATTTACTCACTTTCTCTCCCATGTTGACTCTGGGGACCTTACTGCTCCCCTCATCCATCGTAAGGAGAGAACCCTCATCCTACTGCTGCTGCCTCTGGTTCTGAAAGACTCCCCACTCTCGCCACTGTGTAGGATGCAAATCTTTGGTCTTTGAGAGCCCCTTCTCCTTGGGCCCAGAGCACACCACTTGTTCATTTTTTCAGTGCCTAAGCCTAGCAGAGTGGAGGCCAGCAGGGATCAGGAAGGTGGGACTCTGTTTTTATGAGGAGTCCTCAGAATTAGAGTGTGGCTACTACTATCATCACCATCCACATCATCAGTAACATTTATGGAGCCCTTGCCATGTGCCAGGGACAATATTAACTACTTTACACCCATGTCTTTTTCTTTCTTTCTTTCTTTCTTTTTTAAGACACAGTCTTGCTCTGTCGCTTAGGATGGAGTGCAGTGGCTTGAGCTCGGCTCAGTGCAACCTCTGCCTCCCAGGTTCAAGCAATTCTCATGCCTCAGCCTCCTGAGTAGCTGGGACTACAGGTGCACACCAGCACGCCCAGCTATTTTTTTTTTTTTTTTTTGTATTTTAGTAGAGACGGGGTTTCACATGTTGTCTAGGCTGGTCCAGAACTCCTGAGCTCGGGCAATCTGCCACCTTGGCCTCCCAAAGTGTTGGGATTACAGGCGTGAGCCACCACGCCTGGCCCATTTTACCCCTATGTCTGATTAAATCCTTAGAACATCTCCAGGAGGCATAAATATCACGGTTATATCCATTTTACAAATGAGGCAACCACGGCTCAGAAAATTTGGTTGGCTTCTCCATGGTCAACACAATTAGTAAACGGGGAAGAAGGGAGTCATACCCGGGCTTGTTGGATGCACAGCCTGATGTCTACACTCACAGCTTCCAATAGCAACTTATTTGTATCAGGCATGTCTTGACCCAGCACCAAAACTGCAGGAGCAATCACCCAAACAGACCCTGTCTGACTTGGCCCCTCTGTCTGGAGGCCTGCTCTTCAGCTCAGTGGCACCCCCATCAGGAGCCCTTCCTTGAAGGCCCCTTGGGCAGAGACTCTCCCTCTCCTGGCACCCCTTATAATTTTGTCTTTGTCTCCCATCTGACCGGCTCACTCTCTGACATGTGTCACAATTGTGTGTGTAAGTGTGACAGGGCAAACAGACCTGAGTGCAAATCCTCATTTTGTTACCTACTTACCATATGGTCATTGGTGAGATACTCAACCTCCTCAAACCTCAGATGCCTTATCCTTAAAATAGTAGTGACATCTCCCTCATGAAGCTGTAATGAAGATGAAATGAGTTTGCCCATGTAAAGGGCTTAGTACAGTGCCTGGCGCATAATCAGGGTTCAATAATGTTTGCTATTATTATTATTGTTGATGTTGATGGCAGTGCCCATGGCTGGCATGATGCCTGGCACACAGCAGGTTATGTAGCACATACAAAAAGTTCATCTCTTTATCCCACTAGACTGCAAGCTCCCAGAGGGGAGGGCCCATGTTTATCTCTGGCCCTGCTAGATGTCATAATGAATCTCAATACATATTGGCCAAATTAATGTATTTCTAAATAATTCCATCAATTCATAATAATGCCCTGCTAAAAATGCAATAGAGCAAAACCAGTAATAGTTAATCTGCCAACCAACAACTTCTTTTGCTTTCTTTTCTTTCTTTCTTTTTTTTTTTTTTCAGACAGAGTCTTTCTCTGTCGCCCAGGCTGGAGTGCAATAGCATGATCTCGGCTCACTGCAACCTCCGCTTCCTGGGTTCAAGCGATTCTCCTGCCTCAGCTTCCCAAGTAGCTGGGATTACAGGCAACTGCCACCACACCCAGCTAATTTTTTGTATTTTTAGTAGAGATGGGGTTTCACCATGTTGGTCAGGCTTGCCTCGAACTCCTGACATCAGGTGATCCACCTGCCTCGGCCTCCCAAAGTGCTGGGATTACAGGCATGAGCCACTGTACCCAGCCACCAACAACTTCTTTTGGAACACCTCTTTAGGTTAGCTCTATGGAGCACTGGGCACAGCCAGTAGTCTGGGGCACAGTGTGGGTGCTCCAGGACAAAGGCAAAAATCAAATGTATGTGTGTCTGGGTGTGATTCCAGCAGTTTATCTGGTGTCCCTCATCTGGAACGATGATGGGAATTCAGTTCCTTTTGAGAAAACCCCCTTTTCTCTTTGGTGCAGGCTTTTGGTTTAGGCGTGTGGGGTTGACGAATACAATGTTAAACATGGTAGAGTCCATGCCCTCCAAAGTTGGTGGCTTAGAGAGGGGAGTGCAACATCTGGATCCAGACATACCTGGGTTTTCTTCCTAGCTTCAGCATTCACTGGCTGTGTGATCCGGGCAAGTGATTAGACCTATCTGGCCTTCAGTTACTCTATGATGGGGTCGGTAACCCCCCTGAAATGTTTTGGGGATCAAGCAAACAACAGTACAAAACTTTGCAAACTGAAAGAACTGTATTAGTGATAGAAATACATTAGTGATAGACGTATATTCAGATCATCTGTTTGTAAGATTAAGGGTATAATGAGATAATGACTTTTAAGTAATTAAATGAGATTAGGTACGTAAAGCACTCAAAGGGCCCCGGCACAGAGTGCTCATCCAGCATTAACCATTGTTAATACTCCCTTGCACCTGCTGCTCCTCTAACTGGCAGCTGTCCCCGCAGCCCCATTTCCACAGGGCTCACTCCTTCGCCTCCTTTGTGTCTTTGCTGGAATGTCACCTTTGAAGCCAGAACTTCCTGACACCCTATTTTTCGCTTCAATCTACTCCTACTTCCAGCACCTCCAGCACTCCTGATACTCTCTCTCTTGCTTCATTTTTCTCCATAGCATTTATTGCCATTTAATATAGTAAATATCTTTCGCATCTTTTGGTTTACTTGTATTCTGTTCCCCACCCCACCCCTAGCCCCAGTAGAATGTAAGCTCCATGAGGGTAGGGATTTTTGTTTAAAAGTTTTCTTCACTGCAGCATCCCCGTGCCTAGACTGAGGGCACCAAAAATTTTCTGTAAATGGCCAGAGCATATTTTAGGCTTTGCAGGCCATATGGTTTCTTTTTTTTCTTTCTTTCTTTTTTTTTTTTTTGAGACAGAGTGTCGCTCTTTCGCCCAGGCTGGAGTGCAGTGGCGCAATCTCGGCTCACTGCAAGCTCCACCTCCCGGGTTCATGCCATTCTCCTGCCTCAGCCTCCCGAGTAGCTGGGACTACAGGTGCCCACCACCATGCCCGGCTAATTTTTGTATTTTTAGTAGAGACGGGGTTTCACTGTGTTAGCCAGGATGGTTTCGATCTCCAGACCTCATGATCCACCTGCCTCGGCCTCCCAAAGTGCTGGGATTACAGGCGTGAGCCACCGCGCCCGGCCTTTGCAGGCCATATGGTTTCTGTCCTAACTAACCAACTCTGTCACTGCAGCACGAAAGCAGCTATAGAAATATGTAAACAGATAAGCATGGCTGTGTTCCAGTGAAACTTGGCTTAATTAGCCAGGCACTGTAGTGCCTGTCTGTAGTCCCAGCTACTCAGGAGAGTGAGGCAGGAAGATTGCTTGAGCCCAGGAGTTCAAGGTTGCAGTGAGCTAGATCTCACCACTGCACTCCAGCCTGGGCGACAGAGTGAGAGAGACCGTGTCTCAAACAAACAAACAAAAACAACAAAAAAGAAACTTTTTTTTTTTTTTAAAAGAAGCAGGCAGCAGCCAGAATTTGGCCTGTGGGCCACAGTTTGCCAATTCCTGGCCTAGATCAACTCATGGCACATTGTATTAGCTTGATGCAAAAGTAATGGCAAAAACCATGATTACTTTTGCACCAACCTAGTAGCTGCTCAATAAATATTTATTGACTGAATTAATTGTGAACAAATGAGCACAGGACTCCCAGAGACACCTGGTATAGTCCCTGGTACACAGCTGCACTCAATAAATACATATTCCTTCCTATTTTGTACTTAATAAATATGACAAGATAGGCTATGATAAATTGTATTAGAGGCACGAAGAAAGTGCTGTGGGAGAACTGAGGTGGTGGCTCTGCCCCTTGGGATGAGGGAGGACTTCAAGGATGTCTGTATAAGAGTTCTCCAGAGAAACAGAACCAAAAGACCAATAGGATGTGTGTGTGTGAGAGAGAGAGAGAGAAAGAAAGAAAGAGCAAGAGATGTATTTTTAAGCAATTGGCTCATATGATTATGGAGGCTGGCAAGCACAATATTTGCAGAGTGGGCCAGCAGGCTGGAGACCCAGGGAAGAGCCAATGTTGCAGTTCAAGTCCAAATTCCCTCTTGCTTGAGGGAGGTCAGTCTGTTCTAGTTGGGCCTTCAACTGATTGGATGAGGCCCACCCACATTAGGGAGGCCAGTCTGCTTTACTTGAAGCCCACAGATTAAAATGTTAGTCTCATTCAAAATATACTCTCCAGGACCAGCCTGGCTAACATAGTGAAACCCCGACTGTACTAAAAATACAAAAATGAGCCAGGCATGGTGGCACACGCCTGTAATCCCAGCTATTCAGGAGGCTGAGGCAGGAGAATCACTTGAACCTGGGAGGCAGAGGTTGCAGTGAGCCGAGATCGTGCCACTGCACTCCAGCCTGGGTGACAGAGTGAGACTCTGTCTCAAAAAAATAAAAAAAAAAACCAACAAAACAAACCCAAAAAACCCAAAATATACTCTCACAGAAACATCCAGAATAATATTTAACCAAATATCTGGGCACTAGTTGTCTTAGTGTGTATGCGCTGCGATGACAGAATATCTGAGACTGGGTAGTTTATAAAGAACAGAAATGTCTTTTTTTTTTTTTTTTTTTTTTTTGAGGCTTGGTCTCACTTTGTTGCCCAGACTGTAGTGCAGTGGCACGATCTTGGCTCACTGGCAACCTCCACCTCCCAGGCTCAAGCGATTCTTCTGCCTCAGCCTCTCGAGTAGCTGGGATTACAGGTGCGCACCTCTACTGCCCAGCTAATTTCTGTATTTTTAGTAGAGACAGGGTTTCACTATGTTGGCCAGGCTGGTCTCGAACTCCTGACCTTAGGTGATCCTCCTGCCTTGGCCTCCCAAAGTGCTGGGATTACAGGGGTGAGCCACCGCATCCGGCCCAGAAATTTGTTTCTTACAGTTCTGGACACTGGAAAGTCCAAGATCAAGTCACTTGCTTTCAGTTTCTGGTGAGGGCTGCTCTCTGCTTCCAAGATGGCACGTTTTTGCTGCATGCTCACATGGTGGAAGGGGACAAAAAGGGACCAGTGCTGCGTCCTCACATGGCAGCAGAAATGGAAGGCTAGTAAGGGCCAGCCAGCTCTCTGAAGCCTCTTTCATTTATTTATTTATTTACTTATTGAGATGGAATCTCTCTCTGCTGCCCAGGCTGGAGTGCAGTGGTGTGATCTTGGCTCACTGCAACCTCCACCTCCTGGCTTCCAGGGATTCTCCTGCCTCAGCCTCCCAGGTAGTTGGGACTATGGGCGCGCGCCACCATGCCTGGCTAACTTTGTATTTTTAGTAGAGACAGGGTTTCCCCATGTTGACCAGGCTGGTCTCTAACTCCTGACCTCAGGTGATCTGCCCGCCTTGGCCTCCCAAAGTGCTGGGATTACAGGCCACCGCGCCCAGCCCTGAAGCCTCTTTTATAAGGGCACGAATCCATTCCTAAGATCAGAACCCTCATGACTTAATCACTTCCCCCAAAGCCCCATCTCTCAATACCATCACATTGGGGTTTAAGTTCCAACCTATGAATTTCAGAGGGACAGATACATTCAAACCATAGCAGTAGTCCAACTAGGTTGATCCATAAAATTAATTATCACAGTGTGCAAAGCTGCTTCCCCCAGAAGCAGACCCTAAGTCAAGGATTCAAGGGCAAGTAGTTTATTTTGTAGTGATCCCAGGAAGCACTGCTGGGGAGTGGGGAAATAAGAGGGGAGGGAAATGAATACAAGGTGTGATAATGAGCAGGTTTTGCTGCAGACAACTGGGCCTCAATCCCTCTGGGCACCTCAATCCCTCTGGGAGACAATGCCAGGCTGCCTCAGAATTATCCTACTCCCAGGACTTAGGAGGCTGGGATATTTATCCTCCAATGTCCATTCACCATTATTAGCGGAAGGCTGCTCCTGGGGCCACTGACCACCCGGTGCTTCCCGTCTGCTTGGGCTGAGAGAGAGCCCTCGATTGAGAGTGACAGATGCTTGCGGTAGGATGAAGGGCACGCACCTGGTGGGTGAGGGCAGAGGGAATGTGGGCAGGGCACTTTAGTGATACTTGGGCTGGCCTTGCAGGATAAGCCCCCATCTTGTTTAATATACTGTTTTTCACGTCTTTGACGCTCAGCGCTAAGACTAATCCTAAGTGGGGCAGTCACTAATAGCTGTGTCTCTACCTCTCTGTGCTAGCAGAGAGGCAAAGAGCATTTTCTCTCGTGCCCAGTTGGAAAACTCTCTGGGAAGGACTCTGATTGGCCCAGCTTGGGTCACGTGCGTGCTCTTCAGATCGGGGGCGGGATATTATGATTGGCAACCTCCACCACCACTCATAGTGAGGGGAGGAGCAGTTAGTAGCCCACCAAGAAGAGGTGTGCTACTCCCAGCAGGGAGGGGGCTGGGCAGGTGAAAAAATGGATCTCCTGTACAGGAAGAGTTCTTTCGTTTGTTTATTTTATTTTGTGGGTGACAAATAAAACTCACAGAGGAGCTGCAAGTTTAATGAAACAATTTACATGCCAAAATAGAACAAGCCTCACCAAAGAGCTATTGACTGGTTTGGAAACACAAACACAAAACATCCATCCTAATTTTATGTATTCAGTGTATAGAGCAACATATGTGATAGAAGAGAAAATAATTTAAACCCCAAATAGTTAAAAAGCCATTCATTAGCACTCTTTAGCCTGCCTGCCATTCAATGCTGTATAAAGGGACCTCAGGAGAGTTACTTAATCTCTTTGAGCCTCAGTTTCCTTCTTTGTAAAATGGGAATGATGCTAATCTCAGCACTTTGAGAGGCCGAGGCGGGCGAATCACGAGGTCAGGAGTTCGAGACCCGCCTGGCCAACATGGTGAAACCCTGTCTCTCCTAAAAATACAAAAATTAGCCAGGCGTGGTGGCACGCACCTGTAGTCCCAGCTGCTCAGGAGGCTGAGGCAGGAGAATCGCTTGAACCCAGGAGGCAGAGATTGCAGTGAGCCGAGATTGTGCTACTGCACTCCAGCCTGGGCAACAGAGCAAGACTCTGTCTCAAAAAAACAAAACAAAACAAACAAAACACTACAGAGGTTGTATTCCAATGAGACCTGGGAGGCAGGAAAGGTGCCCTAGGTAGTGGATCATGGGGAGCAGAGGCAAGGAAGTGGGAAGTGAAAGCAGGTGTAGAGCCGGCTGTGCAGCCTGGGGTGCTGTGTGGCAGGAGGAGCTGGGGAGAAGGAGGGAAGCCAAGGTGTCTCTAACCTCATCAGCAAGCTCCACCAGAGACTCCGGCCCCAGGAGCCGGGGAGGGTTTCTCACTGGAAGCGTGCCCGCAATGCCGGGGATCTGTTTCCATCTGCTCATTTTACTGCTAAGTTGTAAAGTGCTAAATGTCATTATCCTCCCCTTCCTTAAACAAGAAAAAAAGTTAACAGCCTGAGAAAAGGAGATATTTCACTTCATTTGGCATCCAGCCACCATTATCCACACAGGGTGCTCCCTTGGGGTCTGGCTAGGGATGGAGAGGAGCCCTAATCTGTTCTGTTCTGCTTTCAGCTTCTAGCACCCACTCTTTGCAGGCTCCAGGCTGGGTGGCCAGGTCAGAGCTCAGCCTGGCTGCTGGCAGAGTAGCCAGCCACCCTCTGAACAGCTCAAACACTGCAATAGGTGCCAAAACAGAGGGAAAGTAACTTGTTCAAGGTCACTCTGCTTATTAGGGCCTGTTCTATATGGCCCAAGAAGGTGAACTTGAACCAAGGAAAATTACAGATTTCAACTCAATAGAAGGACAAACTCAGAAGACTTAGACCTGTTGAAAAATGATTCCTTCATGAGGTAGTGAGCTGTTTGTCTGCCAGAGGCATGCAAGTGTTGGCTAGACCCTCCTTTCAGAAGACTCACTGTAGAGAAGAGTCTGCTCTAGATGGCAGGGTGGGGGGTGGGGGCAAAAAAGCTTATGATTAAAGTTCTTTCCAACTCTGAGACTCTAGAAATGTATACCTGAGAAATCTCACCCATTTTCATGATCTTTAACATGCCTGGCCCCTGCTGTCTGAACAGGAGTTTCTGGCTGCCTGATGATGGCATGACACAGAAGGAGTGAGCAGGCAGAACAAGGTGTGATTCGTCTTCATTATTCTGATTATGGGGTCATTAAGGCTTTCACTCTGCAGTGCTCCCTCGAGGACCTCCTGCTGCTTCCACTGTATGACAGTTGATCCTCCCAGCAGCCTAGTGGGCAGGGGTGTCCCACAGGGCTCAAAGCCATACTTAAACATCACTCGCCCATTGAAGCTGCTGTCCCTGTGGACTGCAAGGCCTGGCCTTAGCGGTGACTTATTGAAGGGGGCAGCCATAGGCCAAATCCCAAGGTCTGGGAACAGCCATGCCCTCTTCTCCACTGGGCTGTGGAAAGGCCACTAACCCAGGATGAGTATGGCTAGTGTGGAGAGACTGAGGTTGCCAGCTAAAACCTTCAGTAGCTTCTCTTAGGTTTCCTACTGGTCCCTAGGGCCCAGTATAACTTGCTCATCACGGTCTAGACTGTGAGCTCCTAAAGGCAAGGACAGGGTCTGTTTTGTTTCCCACTATGGCTCCAGAGCTTGGCAGTATGCTTGGCACTTGACCAGTGCTTGGTAAATATCTGTTGAGTGAGTGAATGGAAAACCTGTAGTCTTCCCGAATGTGACAGAAGTGAAACTGGCAAGCAGGCATCCCTAAAAGGGTGGACAGCGCTGTACCATGAGTGATATGGTTTGGCTGTGTGTCCTCACCCAAATCTCACGTGGAATTTTAATCCTCAGTGTTGGAGGTGGGGCCTGGTGGGAGGTGATTGAATCATGGGGGAGGTTTCTCATGAATGGTTTAGCACCATCCCCCTTGTGCTGTTGACATGATAGAGTTCTCACCAGATCCGGTTGTTGCACCCCGCCCCTCTCTCTTGCTCCTTCTCTGGCCATGTAAGACGTGCCTCCTTCCCCTTCACCTTCTGCCATGATTTGAAAGTTTCCTGAGGCCTCCCATGAAACCGACCAGATGCCAGCATCATGCTTCCTATACAGCCTAAGGAAACATGAGTCAATTAAACCTCTTTTCTTTATAAATTACCCAGTCTCAAATGTTTCTTTGTAGCCATGTAAGAAGGGACTAATACAATGAGTCTGGAGGTTTGGACAAGTCCCTGCTCTTTGGGCCTCAGTTTCCCAATCACAGAATTGGGGAACTGGCATGAGGCTGGATAGGGGGTAGGAAGAAAGGCCATGTTTCCTGGCTGAGCTCTAGACCTCAAGGGTCCTTGGGCTGCAGAGCTGGCCCCAGCCTCTGTCATTGGACTTGGTAATGGAGCCACATCTTTGGGACTGAGGTGCCACATCACTGCTGGGCATTTACTCAGTTCAACATCCAAAACTAAGTCTGTCTTATATGCCAAGTACACTGTGGGCCATGGGGCCAAATGAGTTGTGGTTCCTGCTATGAAGAACCCAGAGTTGAGTGGGGGCAATGGACATGCAAAGAGAAGGAAAGAAATGCAACACAGTGGGACAAAATGCCCAAGAGCTCTCCATGCGTGAAAGGGAGTGATTAATGAGAGCTGAAAGGATGTGCAAGACTTCCTGGAGGAGGTGCCTTTGAGCAGACCATTTGGGGTAGAAATGACAGGAAAAAAGCCAGTGGAGGAAAAGGGTGGACAAAGGCACCAAGGTTAAGGCAGTGTGGGAGCAGAGATGAGGGGTAAAGTAACAGGTAGGGTTGGTGCTCACAGGACATGGAAGAGGCCCAACTCCAGACCGAAGATGACACAGCTCTTGCACAGGTCCGTGTTCCAGGACAGAGCACTGAACGAGGCTGGTCTGGTTCAAATCCTGGCCCTTCACATACTTACCTGTGACCTTGTTCTGTGTCTCAATTTTCTCATCTGTAAATGAGGATTCTAATACCTAACCTTCAGAGCTGTTGAGAACATTAAGTGAGACTACACCATGAGATTGCATTAAATGAGATTACATGAGATTAGCACAGAGTAGGCAGTCTGGGAAATGGGGTTTCCTATCTCTCTTTGGCTTTTTGTTAATATGCAGATACTCCTGAGAAAAGCTATAGCGGGCATGTGTTAACCATTTATATAATTAGGGTGAACGAGATTATCAGAAAGTTTACTGAAAAAGTTATGAGAGGACAGGGAAGCAATGGAGGGAGAAATGCATGCCTTTAGGGACAGGAAAGGCAAGAAAGGAAACAAACTAGGGAGCCTGGGGCAAAAGATAAACTTCATCAACCTCTAAGTTTTGCCAGAAGACTGCCTTAAATTCAGTTTGTTTGTTTAAGGAAGGAGAAGAAAGAAATGGGTTCCCATCCTAGGGATGGTCATGGGTCACAGTCTTGGGCATAAGAGGGATAGGGGTGGGTGGGGGATAGAAGTGGACAGGGGTGCGTGTGGCCTGCTGTGGAGTCACCTCCTGGCCTCTGCTGCAATGGTGGTGAGAGGAGAAGGAGGGTGAGAGAGAATGTCACCATTCAAAGTGGTGAACCATGGTGACCCATGAGGTAGAATTCAGGAGACTTAGGGTGGCCTCCCTGCCATATTTCACAGGTACCCGGAATGCCACCGTTAGTGTTGAAGCATTGTCCAAGTGGATATCAGAGTGACTCGTGTAACAAGTGACACACAAACCTTTAACATATAAACACTGAATACTTTAGTGTTGATCAGTTTATTAGTATTTTTCCAAACCTGAAGAATGGTGAAAGTTTGTGGTACAGTGTGGGGAAAACAGTAAGTGTGGCTTTGGGCAAGCCACTTCCCTTCTATGGCTCTCAGTTTTCCCATCTGCACAATGAGGGGGTTGGAGTGTGTGGTCTCTAAGGCACTGAATTTCAGTCTGTTCTCCATCCATCAGTGGATATGTGAGATGCAATGCAGGGGTGCTGGCCTGTCCCTGGTAATGAGCGAGGATATGAGCAAAGCAGTGAGTACAGCCTGGAATTCCAGCTACTCAGGAGGCTGAGGTACGAGAATCACTTGAACTTGGGAGGCTGAGGTTTCAGTGAGCTGAGATCTGGCCACTGCACTCCAGCCTGGGCGACAGAGTGAGACTCTGTCTCAAAAAAAGGATTCTACGACTATGATTCCAAGAGTGTAAAATTCCAAGATGTTCTTTAAAATTAGTAGAATGGTCAAGACTGGGGGCAGGGCCGGGTGCAGTGGCTCACACCTGTAATCCTAGCACTTTGGGAGGCTGAGGCGGGTGGATCAGTTGAGGTCAGGAGTTCGAGACCATCCTGACCAACATGGCGAAACCCTGTCTCTACTAAAAATACAAAATTAGCCAGGCCTGATGGCACACGTCTGTAATCCCAGCTACTTGGAAGGCTGAGGCGGGAAGATCGCTTGAACCCAGGAGATGGAGGTTGCAGTGGGCCAAGATCGTGCCATTGCACTCCAGCATGGGCAACAAGAGCGAAACTCCCTCTCAAAAAAAAAAAAAAAAAAGGGGGGGGGCAGGTGGCACCTCCTAATGGGTGGCGCCCTTAGTTTCCCCCAAGAAGAGGGAAATCAAGTGAAGGTTCTATTGATGAGCTCTATTTCAGAGCATTTGGGAGGCCTTTTGGGCCAAGCGGACCAAGAAGGAGGCCTACTAGAAAAGTAGCAGAGAGGCAGGAATGAGCCCTGAGCACGAGGCTTAGGCTAGGGCCCTGTCCCGTAACTCACTCGCCGTGCCACCCTGCCCTCTGCTTTAGTCAGGGCTTTTCTGGCTGCAGGAGCTGAGACCACACTCCAGTCAACTAAAGTAAACGGGGCTTTCTCATAAGGATAGAGTGTGGCCTACCGGAGTCCAAAGACAGGCACTCAGGCCTGAGGGATTGAGCGCCCGGACTAGAAAACTGCCACACTGAGGTAGCTGTCTTCTGTTTCTCTCAGAAGCCTCACAACCATCTTATTTTACCTGTATGTCTAGAAAATTCTGTCCCTTAATTGGCAGCTTCCCAGTGTTTTCTCACCTCTGCTCCCAGCCTCTTCTGCTCTCGGGAATCAGGCCTTCCAGTCTGGGTGGGCGTTTCAAACCGCGCGGGTGTCGCAACATCCCCATTCACAATTCCCGACCAAGAATCGAACTGGCTCCGCTCCCAGGTCAGCCTAAGGCAGGGAGTCCATCCGGACCTGGTCCCATCAGCTGGGCGGGGCCTGGGCGGGGTCCCAGGGAGCCTCCGGCCTGGGCACCTGAGCCCTAGAATGAGACAGCCCGGCGGTCCCGCGGCGCGCTGGCGCCCTCGCCCTCGCGCTCCATGGTCTCGAAGAGCAGCCGCACCAGCGCCGGCCGTCCCTGGGCCACCAGGGCCCGGGCCAGCCCCAACACCTCGTCCGTGTGCCCGCGCCACACGCGCTGCAGCTCCTGGCGCAGGCGCGCCGCGGGGTACTTGTCCTGGGCGCGGCGCAGCCAGGCGTCCACCTCGCGGCCCAGCTCCCCGTCGCTCAGCTGTGCCTGGCTCCACTGCGCCAGCAGCGCCTCGAGCAGGCAGCCGAAGCCGTCGGTGTGGCTGGAGCCCGCGTCGTCCAGCTCCACTGCGCGCTTGAAGCAGGCGGCCGCGTTGGCGTCCTCGCCCTTGATGCGCAGGCACTTGCCGCGCAGCAGCTGCAGCTCGGGCAGCGTGGCACCCAGCTCCGACTCGCCCGCCTTGGCCAGGAACACCAGCGCCTGGTTCAGCGCCGCCTCGTCCACCGCCAGCAGCTCCTGCACCGCGTCCACGCCCATATAGTAGTAGACCTGGGGTCGGGGACGCGGGGTGAGCCCTTCACCGCAGGCGCGGCTCCACGCTCATTCCCGCCCCACGCTTGCTTTAAAAAAAAATTCCACTCCTTCACTCATTCCCACCCTCTCTCCATCGACAATTATTAATCACACGTTTTATTCCTGCTCCTCTAGAAAAGGAGTACCCCGATTCCAGTTCCAGCCCCTTCACACCTAGCTATATAACCTTGAGTGAGTCAATCTCTGGATCTCGGTTTTCTTGTACCTAAAATTATGATATTGTCACTTCTTGGTAAACATTCCCTGAACACAGATAGAGAATAGGTATCTTCTAGATAAAGAATAATGCCCACACTTCCTGAGTGCTTAGGAAGAGCCAAGCCTTATTCTAAATACTGTACACACGTCTTATTCAGTCCTCACCACGGCTGGAGGAGATGGGTACTGTTATCAGGGAGTGAAACTTTTTCCTCTGCATCTTGGCCTAGCCCTTGGTCTAGCCTGGCAAGGAGTAAACAGATTCTTGCTCAGCTATTGGCTAAGCCAAGAGACTGCCTTACCTGGCCGATGTCCAGGTACGCCTTGAAGCCTGGGCACACCCTGACCACTTCCTCAAGGTCAGCCTTGGCACAGGCCAGGTGGTTCCTGTCAGGCATGCCCCCGAGACCCATCTTGGCCCGCTTGAGGTCATGCAGGTAGGCTCTGATGTGGATCTGCCAACAGAGAGCCAGCTTAGGAAAGATGATCCAGGCAAGGGCCTCTGCCTTCCTCTCTGCTCTAAATGAACCCAGTCTTTTTTTCAACAGCAACCAGGGAGGTTATGTGTTGCAGTAGAAAGACCCTGAGGCCAGGACCCAGGAGTCCTAGGTCCTAGCCTTGGACCAACTTGGGTTAGCCATACCCTCTTTCTGGTCCTTAGTTTCCCTGTCTGTGCAATGAGTGAGTAGGATGAAGTAAGAGTCCCTTACTCATTCAGCAGATATGTATTGAGTGCCCACCATGTGCCAGTTCCTATGCTGGGTACAGGAGGTACCGTGGTAACAAGATAGATGAGGTCCCTGCTCTGGCAGAACTTAACATTCCAGTAGGGGAGGCAGTCAATAGTAAACAGTTCTATTTCAAGTGGTAAGTGCTATGACAAAATAAATATGGCAATGGGATAGAGGTGATTGGGGAGGATTATTTTAGGTAGGATGGCAGCACCGATTTTGTGAGAGTCTATGTCAACAAGCAGTTTGGGAAGAATGGCAGGTGGCCCCAACTGCCAAGCATCACATTACAAATGATCTCAAACCCTTGCTTTCCTGAATTCCTCCATTTTCCCCACACTTAGAGCATTTACAAAGTTTGGAGGTTTAGGAGGGGTGGGTTTGGGTTGGGTAGAAGGAAGCAAGGGAAAAGGGGTTATTGTTGTTGAAGGTATTAATGCTTTATAGTCATCAGAAGGGATTTGCTTATAAGACAGCATCATGGAGGCAGGGGGAGATGAATCTCTGGCTTTCGGGTCAGTTGGACTAGGGTTTGAATTCCAGTCCTTCCCTTAACCCCTAGCTATTAGCCATGTCATCTGGAGGGAGTTCCACAACTCTATGAACCTGAACCTCATTTCTATATCTGAAAACTTAGTACATGAATATCTTCCTTGGGGAATTACCATGATGTCTGAAAGAACATATTCTAGTCAGGAGCTAGCATATGGTAGGTGCTCAGTTCATTTATTCATTCAGCAAATATTCATTAAGAGCCTCCTCTGTGCCAGACACTGTTCCAGGCACTGAGAATACAGTAGACAACAAAACCACAAAAATCCCTGCCATTAAGTAGCTTATATGTTTTGGGGGAGAGAGAAAATAAACATGATAAATATGTAAATAGTGTGTAAGGGAGTGATTAGTGCTAAGAAGAAAACTAAACCAGGAAAGGAAAACATAAAATGTTGGCGGAGGCTAGGTGTGGTGGCTCACACCTATAATCCTAGCACTTTGGGAGGCTGCAGCTGGAGGATTGCTTGAGCCCAAGAATTTGAAACCAGCCTGGGCAACATAGGCAGAACCCTGTATCTACAACAAATAATTTTTAAAAAATTAGCTGGGCGGGTGTTGTGGTGCACACCTGTGGTCCCAGCTACTTGGGAGGCTGAGGTGGGAGGATCACTTGATCCCAGGAGTTCAAGGCTGCAGTGGGCCGTGATCATGCCACTCCACTCCAGCCTGGGTGACAGAGTGAGACCTTATCTCTAAAATAATTTTAAAAATAAATTAATTAACAAATTAAATGTTGGCATGGCTTTGATATTTTCAATTAGATGGCCACTAGAAGACCTGTAGGAAGTGTGGGAGGAAGCCAATCAGATATCTGGGAGAAGAGCATTCCAGGCAGAGGCCCAGGCCAGTAGGGTTGGAAGACTGAGAGAGGCATGAGCAGAGGGAGGTGGGGTAGAGAGGTCATGAGGCCAGGGCCACGCTTATGGGCCGCAGCATGGACTGAGGCTTTTACACAGATAATGTGAGTTCCCTCCTCCTCCCATCTCTTCTCCACCATCCTGTGCTCCTCTAGTCATCTGAGTAGTAAGTGTGACCTCTGGCACCACAGAGAGGCCAGGATCATAAGACACCAGATGGTGATGGAGGGAGGAGAGTAAAGTTGGAGTTTCTGATTATTGAATGCAGTTCCTTGGGGAAGTTCCCTGCCTCCCTGGTTCTATGTGGCCTCATTTGTAGGATGGACATGTCCGGCCTCTCTCAGAGGGTTCTTGTGAACATTAAATCAGACCATGAACTTGAAAGTGCTTGATGAAATGCAGAATTTTATAGAGATATTTTATTATTTACTATTATGGTTAATGTCATTATTATCTAGAATAATAACCACATCCACGACAGTGAAGGAATTTCACTCCTGCCTCGTACCTGCTGGCAAAGTAATTAAGCCACTGAGACCAAGACTGGGAGTAGATTTGCCACTAGGTCATGTGGATAGTAGTGGAGAAGATGAGGGGATGGGAGGACTCTTCGGCTTGCAGTGAAGTAAACTGGGAGCTCCGAGTCGGCTTCCTCAAGCACATGGGCTCTGTGTGGGCTCTAGGAGGCAGGTCTGGGACCAGTGCGGGAAGCTAGCAGGAGGCAGAACTCACCTAAGTGTGTAACTTGCAGAGCTGAATGACTATGCAGTGGACTGCATCAAGAGACAGTGAGATAATTCAAAAATATGCCTAATATTAAATTAGTAGCAGTCAGTCTCTTATGAAATCTTACTGTGTGCTTGATGCTGAGTTTTACATACAAAATCTAATGTAATTCTCATAACAACTCCAGTCTACAGATAAAGAAATTGAGGCTCAGAATCTGGGCAAGAGTATTTTGCCAAAGGTCCCGTAGCACGTGGTGTTGTGGGATTTGAACCAAGGCTGTCTGTGTTCAGAGCCAGAGCTCTGATCCACTATATTAAATGACCTCTACTGGCTTTCAGAAAAGCACCCCCTATGTCCAAGGCACTGTGCTTTAGATGCTACCTCACTGTGTCTGTTGACAACATTTTAAGGAAAGTGTTGTTATTTATATCTTACAGATTTGGGAACTGAAGTTTGTGGGGGTAAGTGGCTTGCTGCAAGTTCCACAAGGCGGAGAAGCCAGATTTCAACTCTGGTCAGTCTGATTCCACCCGTGCCAATCCAGAAGAGGCTGGGGGCTCACTGACCAGGAATTGTAGAAGGGATTCCTGCAGTGAGTGGAGGCTCCTGCATTCTTTCACTCAAAAACCTTACAGGGCTGGGTGTAGTGGCTCACACCTGGAATTCCAGCACTTTGGGAGGTCGAGGTGGGAGGACTGCTTGAGCCCAGGAGTTTGAGACGAGTCTGGGCAACATAGTGAGACCTCGTCTCTACAAAACAAAACAAAAATTAGCTGGGTGTGGTGGTGTGCACCTGTAGTCCCAGCTATTTGGGAGGCTGAGGCGGGAGGATTGCTTGAGCTTAGGAGGTCTAGGCTGCAGTGAGCCGTGGTGGCACCACCATACTCCAGTTGGGTGACAGAGCGAGACACTGTCTCAAAACAAACAAAAAACTTTATAGAACCCAACTGTGTTTTTTGATGGCTCCTAAGCTCCCTTCCACCATGAGGACTCCCTGACCCTTGGGCCCTGGCAACAGGGTCTTGGCCTCTGGCCCTTGTTCTCTGATTCCCAATGGCAGGGTATGGTGGGGCAGGAAGTTGACCCACCTTGGCCCTTGTGCAGTACGCCTGCCAGTTGAGTTCTGGATCTCGTAGGACATCCAGGGCCATGTTGCAGGTTCCAATGGCCATATCCTGCTTTCCCAGGAAGTAGAAGATTTTTGCCAGGCGATTCAGGATGGGAGGTTGGTTCTTGGCAATCTCAATGGCCTAGGTAAGGGAGGAGTGCAAAAACAAACCACTTGCTTGGTCATTAGCCAGAGCTGGCTAAACAGTGCTGAACCACAGGAACCCCATCTTTGGATACAGCCGTATCAACATGGTGCCCTTTACCCATATCCACCCTTATCCACCTGCCAGTAAGTTGTCACATCACGAAGCCCCAACACCTTGGGGCACAACCTATTGGCACTCAACTCCTGAGAGCCTGGCCCACGACCACATCACCGGTCACATCCAGTAAAGCCTTCCAGAGCCCAGTCAGACCCCTCCTTCCCAGTGTATGCTCTCCCATCTTCCTAGGGCAGGTGAGAGGAAGGGCCAGAGGCAACCCCCATCCCCCAACCTTACAAAGTACAGGGTTTCTACCTGGGTAATAACACTTACCCTCACTATTGTCATTGACTGCTTCCTGTTGTAAGTGACTTGCCTTAGGGTCACACAGCCTATGGGCAGGGCTGGCAAGGAGACACCAGCTAAACCCATCTTTCTACTATGCCACTGGGGGTGGAGAGGTAGGGAACTCCTGGCAGAGGGAATACTGTGAATGAAGGTCTCAAGGGAAAAAGTCTAAGGGTCTATTTCAAGGCTGGAGAAATGGGCTGGGGCCAGACTGGGTATGGGGAGGGTCTCTTTTGTTTTGAATGAAGAGAGGATGGAGAGCAAGGTCTGGAGTAAGTGTACTTCCTGGGTGGGCCACGCGGTGGGGGTTGATACCCAGAGAAGCCTGGGTTCTAGGTGGAGAGGCTGGGGTGCCAGGCTCCTTCTCAGTTTAGAGGGTGGGTGTGGCTGGGGGCAAGTACCTTGCCGAAGCAGTCTAGAGGGTCGGTCCCTGAGTACCCGCAGTCATGGACGCCCATGGGGGTGGTGGAGAAGGTGTCCTTCCGCTCCAGCAGCATCCCGAGGTAGCACCAGGCCAGGGCTGGGGGTGAAGGGTGGGAGAGGGTCTCTAGGAAGCAGCAGGGTGGAGAGAGGGAAGGGGCCATCCCCATCCTAGGTGTCACCCATGAAGACAAAGCAAGGGATAGTAGAGTGGGATCACTGAGGGCAACACAGGGACAGAGAGAAGCAAAGGTGGAGAGAGGGGCCATGTGAGGGGTTAGTGAACCCATTTTAGTGCTTATTCTGTGCTCAATGTGTCATCGGGGGACCTAATTTCAGGTACGTAGGTCTCTTCTGACTTCAGCTCTCACCAGCTCTGGTGGTTCTAGTCCCTGCTCTTGCTGTCTGGCCCTGCAAAAAAATGACTCGACTCCTCTCCAACAGAGGCTTCAATCTTCTGACCATAAATAGGTGGAAATAGGGGAAACTACCTCTCACCCTCCAGGTCATGAGCTGCAGACGGGCAAGCCTGCAGTCACAGTGACTTGTAGTTGGCATGTTCACTTGGGCAAGGTATGTGGGCTCCTTGAGGTGCACAGATGAGTGTAGGGGACAGAGCGAAGGAGGAAGAAACAGGAGCCAAGAAGGGGAGGTAATGCCAGAGGTGGATGCAATGCCAGCGGGCTGTTGGCAGGGGGCAGAGGCTGCTGTCCCACCCATCCCCCGGGTCCCCACCTCGGTGGCGGGGGTCCTCGGACTTCAGCACTTGCCGGAGTAGGGCCAGCGTGCGGTTGAAGGCAGGCAGTCTCTTCTGCTCCTCACTGCCCAGCTCCAGGAAGATGCCATCTAGCCTGTGGCCGAGAAGGAGATGTGGTTGGGTGGCACCCCTCCCGGCTGTCCTGTGTGCTGCCAGCCCTGCCCAGGCCTGTGGTGGTGGGGGGTGGCGGTTTGGGGAGCCCTTTCCAGTAGGAAGGGCCCAGCCACCTCTGCCCTTACCCTGCTGGCTGGGTGCCAGGCCACACCTCTCCCTCTTCCATCCCGTACCCCCACCACCCTCTTGCCTGACCTGATGTAGAGTGTTGCCATGGTGAAATACCAGCCCCTTTTCTCCTCCATCGGGATCTAGGGAAACAGAGAACAGCCCACACTGCCATTACTGAGGTACTCTGGCCATTGTTCATAAACTCCCACACTCACTGAACCCCAAGAGGCAGCAGGCACAAGTGGGAAGGGCTTTGACCTTAAACACCTTTGATTACAGTCCTGGTTCTGCCCCTGACTGGCTGGGTGGCCTTGGGCAAGTCACTTCACTTCTCTGACTACAGAGACTTTGTGAGGGCCCCCAGTGAGGTGCCTATCCTAGAGCAGGTATGGCGAGCATTTCCTCCCCACCCCGCCACAGGCCCCCCAACCCCAGGGCGCACACCCCACTGCCCACCCTCTCCTCCACGCCCACCGGCCTCCCGTTTGGTGCCATCCCTGCAGTCTTCACCTTCCTGAGAAAGTCCCTTTGGTCATGTTAAGTGAGCCCAGCTCAGCTGAAGCCCAAGAACCCCCCTGAACTGTTTTGCCATTATTATTCCTGCCAACCTTGCTGTGCGACTTGGGCACCAGATAAAATATTTATGCTGTTATTTATGGTAGTAGCTGCTCCAGCTTCGGGAAGGAATTTTAATGAAAACCAGTAAAACCCCCCAGTGCATATCAGCAGCTCTCCCTCAGGCTCCAGCCCCTCCCTCCACATTCATCTCCCGTCCCTGATCTGGAGGCTTCACTCTGTACTTGCCACCCCGACTGTGGCCTCCTCAGCTGTGGGGGAGGGGGACCCATCATCTCTCTACCCCCGTCCCCAGCAGCTGGGGTGAATGCATTTGTGAGCACCTATGGCATAAGGTCCTGTGCTGGGTGCTCTGGGAATGTGGCACTGAATGGGACCTGCACCCTGACCCAAACGCACTCACAACCTGGCAGGGGAAGCAGATCCAGGCTTCAGTAATAGGATGCCACTCAGTGCCTGCATGTGCCAGGATCCTGACACCCATTTTCTCCATCTCACAACAAACCTATCATGTAGCTGTTATCCACATTTTATAGTGGAACATATTGAAGCTCAGAGAGATAAAGTGACTTGCCTGAGGTCACACAGCTTTTGAGGGTCAGAGCTGGGATCTGGTCCCCGTTTGTCAGCCTCCAAAGCCCATGCTTGCTTCCCCACACTGGGTTGCCAATAGCTGTGGTATGAAGCCAGGCCTGATAGAGGCCATGAGAGTGGTACAGAGGAAGTGTGGGGGATGGGCAGGCCACTCCCAGCTGGGGGATGTGGGCTTAAGGAGGGTCTTGGGTCATATTGGCACTTCAAAGGGTGGGCTCCAGATGGAGGGCTCCCGTGAGCAGAGGCCTGGAGACGTTGGGGATGGGCAGCTGATGGGTGTGCAGCACACAGTGTGTGAATGGGGATCTGGGGGAGCCAATGCTAGCAGGTTAGGTGTGGCTGCTCCGGGGAAACCTTGGATGAATTTGAAGGGAGGGGTCCTTGTGAGTCAGATCCCACCAACTGGTGTGACCACCCATCAGGACAGGGTCTGGAACCCAGGTCCCAGTCAGACCACCCAAAAGGGGCCCCACTAATTGCATTTCTCAGTCAGTATTCCCTGAGTATCTTCTCTGTGTGGCTCTCGGCTGGGCAATAAGGACAGGAGAGAAAAGGCAGGCTCTGGGTCCTGCAAGAAAACCAGACCCAAAGACACAATAGAGTAGAAGGAACATGGGGGCAATGGGAGCCCAAGGAGGTATCCTGTATAATCCAGGAACATCCCCATGGCTATCCAGAGGAGGAAGTACTAGGGCAGGGTCCTCAAGGACAAGTAGGAATCACCCAGGTGGATACGGTGAGAAAAGGCAATCTAGGAGGATGGGACATCAAGTGCAAAAGCTCAGAGAAGAGCGAGCAAGGCATGCTGGGGTCTGCATGCAGCCAGAGGGCTGGAACCCTGATGGTAAGGAGTGGAGGGAAGAGCCAGCAGGCGCATAATCAGGAGGGGCCCCTGAGTACCAGGGTCAGGACTTGGAGCTCATCTGCAAGGTAGTGGGGAGTTATAGAAGGAGATAGAGCTGGAGGGTTGGGCGCAGTAGCTTATGCCTGTACTCCCAGCACTTTGGGAAGGTGAGGCAGGAGAATCTCTGAAGCCCAGCAGCAGTCCAAGACCAGCCTGTGCAACATAATGAGACCCTGTCTACTCGAAAATCAAAATCAAAATAGCCAGGCACAGTGGTGCAAGTCCATAGTCACAGCTGCTCTAAAGCCTGAGATGGGAGAATTGATTGAGCCCAGGAGTTTAAGGCTGCAGTGAACTATGATAGCACCACTGCCCTCCAGCCAGGGCAACAAAGTGAGACCGTGTTTCTTAAAAGAAAAAGAGGCTAGAGCTCAGGAATGCCAAGATCCGACGGATGTGTGCCTTTACATTTGTATCACCTTGAAAGGTAATCCTGTTACTTAGGTGGGAATATGTATATTGGGACTTTAGCTGGGAATAGGACTGTCTGGAGGGGAGAAGGGATGGCCTCAAGGCTTAAAGGGCATCCCTGAGAAGTGGGGAACACTTCCCAAAGCAAAAGGCAGGGATAGGACTCTGGATACCCTTATCTGCTTTACTTACACTGGACCTGGGAAGGAAAAAGGAGACTGGGATTTATGGAGCACCTAGTGTGGGCCAAACTGGCATGATGTGTCAAAGCCTGACCATGTAAAGGATCAGGGGCACATGGGGTGCCTCAGGCTTCCTGGCTGCTGCTGCTGCTGCTGCTGCTGCTGCTTCTTTCTTCTTTCTTCTTCTTCTTTTTCCTTCTTCTTCCTTCTTCTTCTCCGTCCTCCTCCTCCTCCTTCTTCTTCTTCCTCTTTTTTTGAGATGGAGTCTTGCTCTGTCACCTAGGCTGGAGTGCAGTGATGTGATCTCAGCTCACTGCAACATCTGCCTCCTGAGTTCGAGCTATTCTGCCTCAGCCTCCCGAGTAGCTGGGATTACAGGTGTCTGCCACCACACCCGACTAGTTTTTGTATTTTTAGTAGAGATGGGGTTTCGCTATGTTGGCCAGGCTGGTCTTGAATTCCTGACCTCAACTGATCTGCCCACCTTGGCCTCCCAAAGTGCTGGGATTACAGGTGTGAGCCACCGCGTCCGGCCCCCTGGCTGCTTCTATGTGAGCAATCCCATGACCTCTGGTCCCTCACCTGCTTTGAGGTTGGCTCAACTGAGTCATGGTGGGGAGAAAGAGAACCCACTCTGCCTTCCTTGCTCCTGGCAAGGGAGCCTAGCATCCAGCAAGAACAGGTGTAGTAGACTTGAGGGGTGGGAAAGCGAAGAGCTGAGGCTCGTGTGCCTGGCAGGCCTGGCCATATGAGATGGGTGACCTTGGGGGATGTTACCCCTGGCAGGTTATGTCCTTATCTGCAAAGGAGGATAATCATATGGGCCTCTCAGGAGTTGTGAGGGCAGTGCCTGGCCCAGAATAGATGTCTGTTCCCTTTTTCCTGGTCTGGGTAGAGCTGAGTAGGGTTAGTGTTCCCTAGGAGGTTACTTTGTCCACTGTGGCGTGTTTCAGTGCCCGATGAGGCAACGTGGTCTTTGGCCCTGGAATCTGGAGCCATCCTGTGGCACCCTGCTGTCCTCTCCCAACTATGCTCCCAGGACCTCAGGACCTCCAGTCCCCTGTTGGGTCCCAGGCACCTTTCTTGCCTCCACAGGTCCCCAGTGTTGGAGACTAATGTGTTGTCCTCAGGGCTCTCCCAGCCACTCTCTTGTTTGGTATTCAAGTGGCAAGAAGTTAAATTATGTGTCCAAACCACAGTACATGATAGAGCTGGGGCTTAGATTCATGCCTCCATGATCCTATTCCCAAGCCTTGTCCACAACACTCAGTTATCCTGATCAATCTCCTTACTAGATATCCGAGGACACCGAGACAAGAGAGGCGAAGTGGCTTACCTAAGGTTCCACACTAGTTAGCATCAGAGCTTACAGTCCAGTGGTTTCACCACCACTCTGCGCACTGTTGACTATTACTGATTAATTCAAGAGCCTGGTTAAGGTTTTCACTAAGCAAGCAATACCACCACCTGGTGGCACTATGCCTGAATTGCAGGGGCAACTCCTAAGCGTCAACTCTCCTCCCCTTCAACTTGATGACTAAAATTGATTTTCAAAAAAGTAGCTAATTGGGTGTCATCTGTGTGACAAATCCCTAAAGTAGTCCCTCATCAGATCCCGCTTGAGAGCAGCATTTGCAGGAGGGCTTGTGGGGTTGCAGATGGGGTCAGTGGAAATGGAACAGAATTAATGGGATACACAGACCTAGTCAGAAGCCTCATTGTGCCTGAGCTTTATTCCTCTATCCCTGTGGTGAAGCTGGTGTTGGCTGTTCACTCTGTGGTGCAATTCTGGCTCCAAAATAGACTGTCTCTCTCTCTTTTTTTTTTTTTAGACGGAGTTTCGCTCGTTGCCCAGACTGGAGTGCAATGGCGCGATCTTGGCTCAACGCAACCTCCGCCTCCGGGTTTAAGCAATTCTCCTGCCTCAGCCTCCCGAGTAGCTGGGATTACAGGCATGTGCCACCACACGCAGCTAATTTTGTATTTTTAGTAGAGACGGGGTTTCTCCATGTTGGTCAGGCCAGTCTCGAACTTCCGACTTCGGGTGATCTGCCCGCCTCGGCCTCCCAAAGTGCTGGGATTACAGGCTTGAGCCACTGTGTTTGGCTCTGGACTGTCTCTTTAAAAGTCCTTCTGGTTGTAACTGAAGCAGTAACTGAAGCAGCCGCTGAAGCTGTTACTAGGGGCAACCTGGCAAGCCATAGTGCATTAAATTAAATTAAACAGGCTTGTGACTGCCCCCTCCCCTCCTGGAGAAGGGAGGGGGTATTCCCCCTCTATCCTGGAGAATAAAGTTGCTGTGAAACCTCTTATGGCTGCAAGGAATTCAGTTACAGAGTTTATGACTCCCAGAGGCAAGATGTTTGGAGGCAGCCTGGGAGGAGGCTCACAGGACTTCTGCCAGAAGAGGAGTATTTACAGTGAACCTGCCTGGGGTGGGTGGCCTCCGGTCAGGACACCCCCACCTTTCTCTCATTCGATCCTTATCACAATCCCGTGGGCTGGGGATTCCGTGGTCTATGAGAGAGGCTGGCCAGCGTGTGAGTCCAGGTTTATGCTAGAGGAGCTTACATTAGGCTGCTGTTCTGTAGCAGATTCATGGGAGGGAACTAGGCGAGGCCCATGTTGACCCTAAAATGAAATTTGTAGACCCTGGTATGAGCTGAAGGTGAGCATGAGAGACAGACCTCAGGTGAGGTGTTCTCAGCACACCTCCCAGCTCTTCTGAGGCCCTTGCTATTACTTTCCTCATATTAGGGATGGGGAAACTGAGGCTGACAGAAGCAGAGGTTGCCTACTTAACCTGGTACTTCAGGCCAGGTCTCTCTGACTTCAGTGCTCTTCCCACAAGATCTAGCTGCAAGGAGCTAGTGTTTGTACAGTGTTTACCATTTACAAAGGGCTTTCACACAGATTCCATGTGATCCTCAGAACAGCCTCATGGAATGTAAATGGAGTATCATTACCCTCTTTGTACAGATGGGAAGACTGAGGCAAGATGCTATCTTCACAGTCACATGTCCAGTGTAACAGTCTCGACTGAAACCTGGAGATAATGCTCTTTTGCTATATTAATAATAGCAACTTTTGAACACTTACTATGCACCAGGCACTTCATTTACATGCGTTACCCCATTAGACTTTCTCAAGGGTTACCTATGGGGTAGGGATTGTTATTCTCCCAAGTTTACAGATGAGGCAACTGTGGCACAGAGTGGTTAGGGCATGCACCCAGAGTGACACAGCTAGCAGGTAGTAGGGCTGAGAACTCTGCGAGTTAGCTCCAGAGTCTTTGCCTCCAACTACCCTAGACAAGCGGTTTTCAAAGTGTGGCCCCCAGACCAGCAAGATCAGCAGCAGCACCTGGGAATTTGATAGAAATGCAAATTCTTGACCCACTGAATCTAAAACTCTGGGGTGGGAGCCCAGCAACCTGTGTTTTAACAGGCCCCCTACTGCATGCTGAAGTTTGAGAACCATTGCACAAGGCTCTCACTGTACTACCCTAAGGTGGAGCAAAAATGGGCTAGAAGATTTGTCTCTTTTTTAGTGAGTAAAAGGATCAGAAATTGTGATCCTCAGGGAAGGCTGAAGATCGAAGCTCCTGTGGGCTGGGTGAGGAAGCAAAAAAGGTTAGTGACCCGACAGAAACTGCAGGAAATGGTAGGATTAGGATAAGCCATTACCAGAGTAGGTATGTCTTAACTCGGGTGGGGTACAAGGTTGGATATCAGCATCCCATTTACTTCAAAAGATGGCCCCAAAAGAAGGAAATGTTGGGGAGCTTGGCTATTTTAAGTTATTCCAATAGAAGATCTTTCACTACCCCAATGACTTACAATATATATGCATTTGAATAGGCTATACAGACACCTTGCTTGTTCTTAAGGAAAATATTTGCCTTGTATTTTGAACTTTGCCCCTGATGACAGGCTGTCCTCTAGATTCAGAGTCAGTTCCTGAAAGCTGACTAATTTTCTTTCTGGGGAGGAGGAATGACAAACAGGAAAGAGAATGAACATTTCTCCAGTGTCACTGGGCTCCTCAGTGCATCATGGCACTGGGTTCTCACAGCAGCCTCAGAAGGTATAATGCATCTTCCTCCTTTTACAGATCAGGAAACAGAGACTACAGAAAAAGCCACCGGCCCAGCCCCATAGCCCAGGGCAGAAGTGCCAGGATTCAAGTTCAGATCTGCCTCCCTCCAATGCCCCTGTTGTTTCCACCTCATCATGCTGACTCTGTGAAGGCTGACACTGCAGAAATAAAAGTCACAAGGTGGCAGGCCTGTGGATATGTCCTTCCTGCACAACTGGAATGTCCTCTGTGATGACACAGAGCAGCCTTTCTGCTCCTGCACACTGAGCCCCGCCCCACCTGGCCCCAGCCTGCCGCCTGTGGGCCATAGTACAAGACAGGCAGGGAAGGGGGTTGCTCTTCCCCACACCCAGCTGTGGGTGGTGATGCTCTTGTGCTCCTGCCTTGTCAGGTGTGGGGAGGAAACAGAAGATGAGATTGGAATCCCACCCCTGCCTCTCACTCCTCTAGGGGTCCTGGAGAGCCCACTGGCATGGCTCAGCTTCTACATCTGCAAACAGGGGTGACCCCATGTGGCCTGCCTGCATCATAGGCATGTTGGCTGAGGTGGTATGCGCACAGGTGGAGGGAATTTGGGACTTGGGTGTTAGGCCATGGAAACAAATATTTGGCCCTGTCTTGGGCTCCCTGGACAGTTCCCTGCAGATTTTAAGCTTTGAGCGGCTCCCTGCTGCCACCTCCTTTCTGGTCCTAGGTCTGTCATGCAAACACAGGCCTTGTGAGTCAGCTTTGCTCTGTGCTGGGTCCCAGACTTGCTGGCCTGTGTTGAGCCACTTCTCTGTTTCATTGTCCCTAGTGAGAGGGCCATTCCCTATCTGGTCCAGCGTCCAAATCCAACTCTAGCACCGGTAGTAGCTGAGTGGGTCTGCAGAAGTCTCTTACCCTCTGCAGTAACAACAGTGATGCCTGAATTTTCTCAGCTCCTCCCGTGGGTCTGTGCTGTGCTGCACTCTCACATACATCATCTTTTCTCCTGTAAAAGAGGTGGTTGGGCTGGATGATGCTAAAATCAGCTTTCTCTCTGGGCTTCTGTATCTATGAGGAGGAGGGTACCCAGCTCTCAAACTTCCCAGCTAAGTGGGGAGAGAAGCCAGTAGCAAACTTAGAGGGCACTGATATGCAAAGGTGAGCACCCCAAGACCACATAAGGCTGGAGCCAGACCCTTAGGAAAGCTGTCTCTCCTCCTGGGCTTTGATGTCCCATAGACCTGAGTTCAGTTCCTGTCAGCCACACGTGCCCTTGGGCAAGACACAACGCCTCTCTGTGCCTTAGTTTGCTGTCTATAGAATGGGGTTAATGGATTTGCCAGCATTTCTGTGATGATCAAATGAGATAATCGATGAAAAGCACTTGTGTGCACAGTGCCTGGGATATCATCCAGCTTCATCTACCTCCTCATGGAGCTGAACCAAATCAAACCACTCAGAATTGTGGAGTCGTGTGTGTGTGCGCGTGTGTGTGTCTGTGCGCGTGCGCACGTGTGGACACGCATGCGTGCATACCAGGGATCCTGGGCTTGCTGACCTATGACACTCTCTTGGGCCTTCCCGCCAGGTCCCCACCCCGCTGGGCGCAGTGATGGATTGGAATGCCCACACCTTTGTTTGTGAGGCTGGCCACCTCCCTCCCCAGCCGCCTCAGCTGGCTGGTGAAGTATGGACAGCCCCGTGTGCACTGGGCCTACCTGGGCAAGTCCCTTCCCCTCCCTGAGTCTGTTATGCCCGGGGTGCAAGGGGGAATCACAATACCTGGCGGTGTGTCTGTGAGGTCTGAATAAAAATTAAATGCGCAAAGGCAGGTAAGATCCTGAGCTCAGTGCCCGGTGCACAGACACCATTGCGGGTGTGGTTCCTGTCATTACTCAGGGCCTGCCCTGGTGTGTATGTGACTGCATGTGTTTGTGTTAAAGCACCAGTGTTTTGGGAAAAGGGGAAGAAAATAACATAACTGAGTTGGCTTGGGACAGGGATTTTTTTTTAATCTTAGACAATAAATAGGGATTTTATTTTAAAAAGGGATTTATTTTATTTTAAAAAATAGGGATTTTAAAGACAGAATCCAGTTATTCGACTAAATTAAACAATGGTTGCAAACTCCTCTTGGGTGTTCAGCTCTACGTCAGACATTGAGGAGGGTGGATGGGGAAGAGAGAGAAAAGCCCAAGACAGAATGCCCACACTCTAGGGGCAAGAAAGAAACCATGTGGGGGTAAGCCAGAGGTTGGGAAGGCTCTATTGAAGAGCAGTGGTGAAGTGCTGTGGGCCAGGGCAGGCAGGGAGAAGCCCCAGGCAGGACCTTATGTGCCCCTGCCTGGTGCTTTTCATGTTTTCTCAATCCTCACAGGAATCATGTGAGGTTCACGTTAGAATCCCATTTTACAGAGGAGGAAACTGAGGCTCAGAGGAATAAAGACTTGCCTGTAGCCAGCTAGTGATGGAGGCAGAATTCTCACCTGGTCTAACTCCAAAGCTTATGCTCTTAATAGCTACTTAATCTAGAGATTTGCTACCAAGGGTCCATCTGTGAGTGTATATGTGTGTAAGAGATGGCGTGTGTATACACATGTGTGTATATTTAGAGGGTTGATGGGAGGAGGAGGGGAGTGATCAAAGCGATCTGCCTCCTCATATTTTTTGTAATTTAAGAAAGAGAAATGTGGCTGGGCGCGGTGGCTCAGCACTTTGGGAGGCCAAGGCAGGCGGATCACCTGAGGTCAGGAGTTCAAGACCAGCCTGGCCAACATGGTGAAACCCAGTCTCTACAAAAATACAAAAATTAGCCAGGCACGATGACAGGTGCCTGTAATCCCAGCTACTTGGGAGGCTGAGCTGAGAGAATTGCTTGAACCCGGGAGGCAGAGGTTGCAGTGAGCCGAGATCGTGCCATTGCACTCTAGACTCAGTCTCAAAGAAAGAAAGAAAGAAAGAAATGGTAGGGAATGAAGAGCAAAGAAAGGAAGTCACAGGGACACACCCCCTCCCATACAAACACTGATTATGTTTGGATTACGGGCTGAATGATTAACTTTTATAATGTTTTCTTTTATAATTTATTATTATTGTTATTATTTTGTAGTTTAGGTTAGCAGATGAGCAGCTGTTCACAGTTCTTCAGCAGCTCTTTGTCCTTTGAGGTCCAGAGGCTCTTCCCCACCTGGGAGGGTCCCAGCCCCACAAGGATGGAAAATCTCTCGCTGCAGGGGGTCCCTCCTCCTCCTCCTTTCCTGGCCTGACTCTGACTTCACCTTCTACCTCATCCTCCCCAGTCTCTGGACACATGGAAACCCACCCACCTCCTCTCTCTCCATACTCCTCTGCCTTAGATTTCCAGGAGTACGCCTGCGAGGGGTCTCCCCTCACCATCCTGCTCGCCATCTGCATTATACCCCATTTCTCTGAACTCTCCAGAAAGAGCAAAGGCTGTGCAGTCAACCAGGGTGGCATGGATTTAGCTGCCATTTACTAGCTCTGTGACCCTGGGCAAGCCTCATTCCTTGCCCCAGTTCAGCTGGCACTCAAGCCCCCGTGCTCTGCAGGCCCCACCATGGGGCCTTTGCATGCACCATGCTCCTGCTGGGTGTGTCCCCCCTCATTCCTGCCTGGGAACTCCTGCTGAAGGGGAGTGTTCCCTCTCTGCCTCAGTCACTCCCACTTTATCCACAGGGCCCGGACTTTCCAGGTCACTGTTGATACCAACCTTTGGTCCCCATATCCCCAGAGTGTACTTTCATTGTCAGCCCCTGGGGCCCTGTTTTTGGTTCAGAAAGTGTGACCTCTGGGTGTACAGTACTTAGAGATGATTGCCAATGACACAGGCCTGTGATGAATGCCTGTGTCCTCAGCCAGTGGTAGACACGTCTCTGATTTGTCCCTTTGGACCATTCCCAGAAGAGGGGCTCAGGTAAGCATAGTTAATGAAGAAGCAAATGTTTGCTTCTCCTTTTGTTCAAGGGCTTCTTAGAGGCAGGGACTTCTTAAAAACAGAGCCTGGCACATAGTAGGTGTTCAATAAATGTTAAAATGCTCAGTAAATGCCTCTCAGACATGCCCAGAATTTTCCAGTTTATGGGCATTTTTACTCTCATCATTTGTTGCATAATCCCAATAAACCTGGAGCTGATCAATGTTTATGAAGCAGGAACTCAGGCAAGTCACAAGAGACGACAAGTGACTTGTCCACAGCCACACAGCAAAATAATAACAGAACTAGGTGCTCAGAACGAAACCTCTGACTCTAAAAGTGATGCAACCATCATTATTGTCATCCTGCCTGCAACTATTTCTTGAGCACCTACTCTGCCAGGTGCTTTAGAAGCATGATGTCATCTAATCCTCAGATGATAAATAGGGTCTCCAAATCCCAAACTCTCTCTGGAGGTTTGTGTAGGGGGCTGACCACAGCTGCTCTGTGCAGAACTGTGGAGCAGCTGCTGGGCCATGCCCCAGGACACAGCACAGGGTTGGCAGCCACACCCCCATGAAGCAATCGGCTCCCTCCCTGGAGTGCTGGGCACCCTGCTTAGCACTCTCTCATCTGGATGTTCACTCACTGGGGAATCCCCACTGTGGCCGTGTTCCCAGAGAGGGAAGAGCCAGCCTCTGATAGCTACCCCTGAATCACTGCTTTCCTGCTCACCTCCTCCAGGAAGGCTTCCCCCAGTGAACGGCCTCCTAAGAGCAGGAAAGTGCCTCAGAGACCATGTAGCCCCTGCTTCCTGCACCCCTTTCACAGATGAAGAAACCACAGCCCAGGGAGAAGAAGGCCCCACTGTGGGTAGTGTTGCAGCTGAGACAAGAACCTAGGCCTCCTGGCTCCTAGCCCAGGGCTCTTCAGGCCCCTCTCTGCTGCCATGACCTGCTGTCATGACCGCATTCAACACATCAATCTTGGTTGTGCCTTCCACTGAAGGTAGCCTGGCATTCAGGGCCACAGGCTCAGGACTGAAACAAGAGACCTGGGTTCTTGTTGACCTCATGCAATCAGTGGTCATGTCTACACCCAGCTTAGGAGCAGAGGAAGCTCTCCCAGCCGGGGAGAGGGAGGGGTCATCTGTGACCCTGCTCATCCCTGTGCAGGCTCTTTCTAGGTGCTTTACAAATATTAACTGTTAATTATGACATCAACCAAGTGAGGGATGTCCCTGTTTTACAGATGACAAAGCCTATGACATATGTAACATTACTATCTCCATCTTACAGGGAGGGGAAAGGAGCTTGGTGGTGCTAAGCACTGATTTGAAGTGAGTGAGCACGGGGGAGCTGGAATTTGGATCCAGACCATCTAACCCAGGGTCAGCTCTCTTAACCCCTACCCTGCATGCTGTCCTTAAGTCAGGTCCATGCCCTACAACCTGTACTTTCTGAGGTCTTGACTCTCACATCTTCTCTTACTGAAGCCATGATCATTCATGGAAAAGGCACTGAGGGGAGTGTGCGGAGCCTTTGTGAAGGGAGCTGTGCTTCCCTGTGCTCCCTTCACATGGAGGTGAGGGGGAGAGAAGAGGTGGGAATGTGCCCAAGTTTCTGGCAGGATGCCTGACTGTGCCTTTTACTTAGGTGGGTGTGCACAGGCGCAGGAACAGGCACTTGCTGGGAGGAGCAAGGTAAGAAGGATGAATTGTCCAGGTTGGGCTTGTGCTGTTTCCAAAAGAGAGGCTTGGGCAGGCAGTCCCACTAGGAAGCGGTTCCACTCCCAGGAGAGAGCTACAGGCCTGGCTGGGGCAGGCGGGGGATGCACATTGGAAAGGCATTTGGGAGGCCAAAAGACCATGGTTGAGAGAGAGTCAGGGGTACCGGGGCATCTCTGCAGACAGAAGGGACCATGGGAGGACCACAGTCCTCCCAGAGGGAGGTAGGGAGACAGGGGTCACCTACCTGCTGCCCGTAGCCTAGCGCCTTGTCGTAGAGCGCGATGCCTGCCGCCAGCCCCCGCGCACGCTCCTCTGGGCTGGCGCAGCCGACGTCGAAGCCATGCGCGTAGCCCTGCTCGGCCAGGCAGCGAGCGGCGCGGAGCTGGGGGTCCCCGGCGGCCTCGGGCTCCTCTGCCAGGCCCATGAGGTCGGCCAGCCGTGCGGCGCACGCCTCCTCCTCTTCTTCCTGGCCCAGCCGCCCGTACACGTGTGCCAGATTGGCCCAGGCATTGAGGTTGCCCGGGTGCTCGTGGGCCACCTCGAGGAAGCACTCGCGGGCCTCGTCCAGCTCCTCCAGGTAGAATGCGAAAGCGCCCAGGAGGTGACGCACAGCGGGGCGCTGCGGGGCGGCCGCCAGCTGGAGCTCCTGCCGCAGACCCTCCCGCTGCAGCTTCAGGTCCCGGGCGCGCTGTGGGGCCGGCGAGCGCGGCTCGAAGTTCAACTGCATCTCCAGGTGAAAGTGGCCCGGGAGGTAGTCCAGGTCGTCGATGAGGGCGTCTAGATCGTCGGCCACAGCCTCCAGCTCCGCCATGACTGCTCCCTCTGCTCCCCTGGCCTCACCCTTGTCCCTGAGGCTGTGGAGGGCAGTGGATGGGGGCGTTCCCCGAGCGAGCTCCGTGCGGGAGGCGAGGGGCAGCCGGCAGAGGCCCCGGGCGCTGCGGCCTCTCGGTCTCAGGGCGCCTCCCGCAGGTGGGTGGGCCCGAGGAGTGCCCTGTAGGTGTTTCCGCTTTCGCTGCTCAGCGGCTTCTAGACGCTGACATTGCACAACCAGGTGTGCCAGAAAAACAGGCACATTGTCAAATACGGGGTGCGCAAACCTCGGTGCAAGGCAAAAGGCGTGTTTTTACGCTGCTAAGCAGAGGAGGAAACTGAGGCTCAAGAGGAGGAAGAGAACTTGCCCAGGTCACAGAGCTGGGGCGTACCCAAGTAGGTAGACCTGGAACCCCAGTTTGCTGAAGGCCGGGCCCTTCCTCCAGGGGCGCTGCTCCGCCCTGTCTGCTTGAGCTGAGTCAGGACTGGCCGTTCTAGCTGCGGCAGCCACCCTTACTCCTGCCGCTGTCCCATCCTCTCTGCAGGTCCTCAGTGCTTTTCCTCTGAATGGAGCCTGCCACCTCCCTCCTCTCTTTTTGGGCCATTATTTATGAGGCTTCCTTCCTGGGATTTCTCTGCGCCCTCTCTGCTCAGCAGTGAGCTCCTGTGCAAAGACTATGGGCTGCATGTGCTGGTTCTAATCCTGCTTCTCCAACCCTAATAAAGTATGACCTGCCACACTTTCCTCACCTGTGACATGAGGATGACAATCCTTCCGCATTTATCAGGTAAGCCTGATAAATGGCCACTCTGGATAAATGTCAGCTCCCACTCCTCCAGCTTGGTTCCCATCCCATCTTGCACTCCACCTGTGGTCCCAGTTTTCTTGCTTTGGCAAATGTCCCTCCCAGGTCTAGAGTGGTCCCCTAACCTCTAGCCTGGAGGCTGGGTGGCAGTGCTCCCTGCTGCAGGGGCCAGTTCCTCCCGCTCTTCTTTCCACCTGGGCCTGGCTCCTGCCATCCCTGTTGTTTCATCTTGACAGACAGATGAAATATATATCTAGATGAAATCTAGATAGACTATCTATGAAGATATAGATGTAAATATTTATATTTCATATAGATGAAATATCTATGTATTTCAAGATGAAGCAACACAGACCAGCATTTCAAAAGAGGAAATAAAGCCAATTAGTAAACTTGAAAAAATATTTGACATTAGCAAAAAAAAAAAAAAATAGTTAAATTAAAACAACATCCTGGTGCCATGTTTCACCTGTCAATTTTTAAATATAAAATTAATTTTAATAATTTTTAATTGAAAATTTTGCTATAAATTGCTGGTGATCCTGTGATAAAACTCGTTCTCTCACCTGCTTGAGAGTATCAGGGGTGGATTCACAGAGGGTTTGGCTTTGAAAAAAAAATTGCGGGCCAGGAGCGGTGGCTCACACCTGTAATCCCAGCACTTTGGGAGGTCGAGGTGGGCGGATCACCTGAGGTCGGGAATTTGAGACCAGCTTGACCAACATGGAGAAACCCCGTCTCTACTAAAAATACAAAATTTGCTGGGCATGGTGGCATATGCCTGTAATCCCAGCTACTCGAGAGGCTGAGGCAGGAGAATCGCTTGAACCCGGGAGGCGGAGGTTGCGGTGAGCCGAGATTGTGCCACTGCACTCCAGCCTGGGCAACAAGAGCAAAGAACTCCGTCTCAAAGAAAAAAAAATTGCAACAACGTATACTTAACAAAAAATTTACAGTGTTAACCATTTTCAAGTGTACAGTTCAGTGGCATTAAGTGCATGAATGCTCCCCTGGCCTCGTCCTTGTCCCTGAGGGCACTGCTATACCACTGTTCCTACCTTCCATCTCCAGAACTTCATCTTCCCAAATGGAAGCTCCATACCCATTAAACAATAACTCCTCATTCTCTCCCCACCCAGCACCTGGTACCCACCATTCTATTTCTGTTTCAGTGAATTCAACTATTCTAGTTACCTTACATAAGTGGAATCATATAATATTTGTTGTTTTGCGACTGGCTTATCTCCCTTAGCATGTCTTCAAGATTCATCCATGTGGTAGCACGTGTTAGAATTTCCTTCCTTTTAAAGGCTGAATAATATTCCATTGTATGAATATATCACATTTTGTTTATCCATGTATCTGTCAATGCATACTTGTGTTGCTTCTACCTTTTGATTATTGTGAACAATGCTGCTATGAACGTGGGCATACAAATACATGTTTGAGTTCCTGCCTTTAATTCTTCTGGGTATATGCCCAGCAGTGAAATTGCTGGATCATATGGTAATTCTATGTTTAATTCTTTGAAAAACTGCCAGACTGTTTTCCACAGCAGCTGGACTATTTTACTTTCCCACCAGCAATGGCCAAAGGTTCCAGTTTCTCTACAACCTCACCAACGTATGTTATTTTCTATTTTTTTTTTTAAGATAATAGCCATCCTAATGGGTGGGTTTGGCTTTTGATTTGACTCTGAAAAAGATGAGTAAGAGAGTTGGGTGGGAAGGGTAGGTTGGTGGGGAGCGCATATCATCAGCAGCAAAGGTATGAAAAAGCTAGAGGTTCTCCAGGGGAGGGTGTGTCCTAGGGACAGAGCAGCCTTGTGGCTGGAGGTTACAGAGCATGGGGCAGAGATGGCAGGAGATGAGGACTGAAGGCAGGGGCCACAGCCCTATCACAGAGGCCCAAGTCCTGACTGAGAAGCTTGACTTGACTCCACTGACACAACAGTGGCTCTGGAGTCTGGACGGGTTAAACAGTCTTGCAGCCAGGGAGCTCTCCAATGTGCTTATGAGTCCCATATTCATGGTGTGACCCTATGCCTCACGAGATGTGACCAGGGCAAGTTATTCTCCCCATCTGAGCCTTAGTTTCCTCTTGTGTACAATGAGGGTGCAATGGTGCCTATAAAAGAAAATGGGTGAGATGCTAGACAAGGAAGCTGCTGTGATGGGAAACTTTGGGCTGACCAGGGCAGGCGGCCTTGCTGCAGAGCTGACTCATTTGGCCTGTTCTGGCTTTCCTGGCAGCCACGACTCCCAGCCCAGTGGACCTTGGCTTATAGCCTTTGGTCACTCCTCCATGAGTCCTAGAGCCATGGGGCTCAGGCCAGAAGAGAAGCAGCAATATAGCTGCAGGCATGTCTGGGCCACCCTGAGAATACCCAAGCAGACCCAGGGCTGGCTGAAGTGCACAGGACTGGAGAGTGTGCACATCCACACCTTGTTGACACCTCAAAACAGCCTTTCCAGGAAGCCACAGTCATAGGTCCATGTCACAGAAGAGGAAATCAAAGTTGGCAAGGGTAACTTGCCCAAGGTCAGCACCCAGGAAGTGGCAGAGCCAGATTTAAATGTGTCTTTGAGGATTTATGTGTTATTGGGTAGTTTGACCAGATGCATGTATTCATTCCCTTGTCATTCAACAAATATTTCCTGAACATTTACTATGTGCTAGATGCTGCACCAGGAGGAAATGAGACAAGTGTCTGTCCTCAGGCCTCTGTAAAGGTCTCTAACCAAGGGCTGGGAATGACCTCCAATTGAGCTCCTGCTGTGTGCCAAGAGTATTACCTAAATCAGGTCATTTCATCCTCACAGCAGCCTGGGAGATAGAGACGATTACTTTCATTTTATAGAATGAAACTGATAATGCTGTGACTCAGAGAAAGAAGTGACTTGCTCAAGATCCCACGGCTGGGAAGGGCAGAGTCTGCTTAGATGACCCAGGCTTTCCGTTCTGTGCATGTTCCTGAGGCCTGCCACCTCTGACCATCAGCTCAGTGGTGCAGCGCAGACGCTCTGCCAGCAGTGGCCCGCCAGGCCTGGAGCCTAAGGGTCCAGCTCTCAGCTGTGCTGGGGAGCCACACTTCTTATCTAACTACCAGCTTGGGATGTCAGAAGGGCACTGGGTGGGGCCTGGCAGAAGACCCACTGTGCCTCTGGTCCAGGTTCACCATGGGCTGGAAGCAGGGCCTCTGGTACAACCTACGCCTCTCTGGCTTCAATCCTGTCACCATGGAATGGGGTATGGATCTCTGCCCCACCTTTGCCTAAGATCCTTGGGAAGATCACAAGCCATCGTGAGAGAAATTAGACAATCTCAGAGCATGGCTGTGGAGCACTGGTTGGGGGGTAAAGAAGGAGGGAAGAGAGAGCTGACTATGCCCTGTGTGGGGTACATACCCTCAATTCCTTTCTTTACTTGGAAAGTCATCCATATGCTTCAATGTTGAGTTTGGAATTCTCCTCCAAGAAGTCTTCCCTGACCTACCTACCCACAGGCTGGGTCAGAGGCCTCCCTCTCTCATAGACCTGACCATAGTATGTGGTCATTGCTTCCCCCATTATTTTCAGGGCAGGGACCACATCTGGGTCCCAGTCATTCTGCACTGTGTCTGCCCAGAGTGGGTGCCAGGGACGTCTAGGGGCCGGTTGAGTCCTGACTACCCCTGCAGCTTTGCCCAGCCCTCCACCCTCTGGCTCTCCTTGCCCTTTCCCCCTTACTTCTGCTCCCCTGACTCCCAAAGTGGAGAAGGAGCTGGGATGTCATTTGCCCAAGGCGGCCCTCTCTGTGGGCCTCAGTTTCCCATCAGCACAAGGTGAACTTTAAAAGGTTCTTTCTGAGCCTAGGCAGGCTCCATGCAGGGCTCTGGGATAAAGCCAGAAATCAGAAACACTTCCTCAACAAATGACTGTAAGACCCCACCCAATGGCATCCATATTAAATACAAGAAGGGCCATTACATCTGCAGGGGCCAGGGAAGGACCCTGAAAATGTGCACGGACAAGTTAAAAATCAGCGGGCTACGTGCGCACGCCGGTGGGGGCGCCACGTGGGCGAGGGCGAGGCCCACAGCTCCGGGGCGCATCACAAGGCCCGGGTTGCCGTGGCAGCAGCGGAGGCGGGCAGCGCGCAGGCCTGCCATGAGGGAAAGCCAGGATGCCGCCGGAGCTCATGGCTGGAACCGCGTCGGCTCCACGGCCACCAAGTGGTTCACCGGGGCGCCCTTCGGGGTGCAGAGCCACAGGTGGGGCCCGTTTGCGTCCTGGGCTCACGCCCACGGTCCAAAGCAGCTGCTGCCCACCCCGAAGCCACGCTTGGCCTCGGGAGAGAGGGTGTCCACCTACACACAGGGCTGAGCCTGGCGGGGAGGGGAACCAGAGGAGTGGGGGCCGGCAGTGAGGAGGGGCTGGGCTTTCTCTCCCCCTCTTGCTTAGTGCTCTTCCCTGCCCAGGGTTCTTTTACCATCTAAGTGAGTTCTTTAAAACCATTTCAAGAGCACTTACTATGTGCCAGGTTTAGAGAGGTCACATGGCCTGGTCCATAGTAGGCCACTCAGCTCAAAAGTGGTGGGTGGGATTTCAGCCCAGGTGTCTGTCTTCCATTCACTCATATTCCACTCTGTCTCTTTCTCTCTCTCACCTACTGTGTTCCAGGCACAGTTCTAGGATCTGGGGCTACAGCAGTGAACACAACAGCAAACCCCTGTACTCATGGAGTTTGCTCTCTTCTGTGGGGGGTGGGGGTGGGTAATAAACAAAAGTATGTACATCTGTAAAACCTTGGGTATTGGTAAGGACTGTGGAGAAAAATGAAGCTGGGAGGAGGAGCTGGTGGGTGGGGTGGGGTGGGGTGGGAGCAGCCTGGAACATTCAAAGCCACTGCAACTCCACTACTTTTCTTTCATGAGCTTGCTCCAAAGTCACCTTCCCGGGCAGCCAACTCCCCCATGCTCCAGAACTGCCCACGCCAGGGCCAGGTGCCAGGCACAGGGCTCTCACTGGGCCACCGTCCCTCCCTAGGTTTGACATCTCTGCTGTTTATCCCAACTGGAAGAAGTTCAGCACCTTCACTGAGGCCCCATACTCCACGCGTTATTCTACCCAAGTGGTGAGTTTGCACAGCTTCCCTGACTCCTCCCACAGGGTCTGGCCACTGCCCCTTCGAGCTGCCTGCTGTGGTGGATGAGCTGAGCTGTAGAAGGGGCGTACTTTCTACCTTCTTCCAGCACAGAGCTGGACCCACAGTGGGGGCTTCCAGTGTGTTTGATAAACGAGGGACTGCAGCACTCCCAGCTTGTGCACTGACTACCTCTGGGCTCTTGAAGGAGTTGTTATACCTTCCTGCAGTGTGAGGGGGCAGTGATAGAGGATGTCACGATTGCACCTTGAGTGCCAAGCCTGTTGGTGCCAGCCTTAGTGCTGAGGGTGGGAGCCACAGGGGGATTGCCTACTCCCTTCCTCCGGGTCAGGGTGGTGGCTTGGTGAGGGCCTGCTCTGTGGGTAGACTGGGCGGGCGTGGCTGTCACAGCTCTGACCACACTCTGACTCAGTCCCACATAGGCCCTGGGACTTACAGCTCCAAAGAGACCTGCTTCAGCAAGAAGAAGCTGATGAAGGAGGTGGACACAGGCTGGGCCAAGGCCCAGGAAGCCACGCGGCTGACCCAGCTACCCCACTTCCAGTACCAGGCCATCATGAAAGAGAAGCGGCTGAAGGTGAGGCCTCTGGGGCCATGCCTCTCCCTCTCTGGTGCCAGGTCTTCCTGTCCATTGCAGCTGCTCTGTGTGGCCTTCAGTGTCCTCCCAAGGCCAGATGGAGATTATCCTTTAAGGAACACCATCGTGCCTTGGGCTTCTTCCTGCGTGGATTTTCCCAAGTTTAAGGCTTTCATTTTCTCTCTTCTCTTGGCACAGGAGCAAAAGCTGGGCCCCGGCTCCTACAACCTCAAAGACTTCTTAGAACAGCTGCGGGAGAAACCATGTAGCACCCGGGGGCTGCTCAGCTCTGGGGAGGTTCGCTTCCGAGGACTCACTGGGGTAGGTGTTCTCATGTCTGGAGTCCCAAGCAGAGAGCCTGGCATACACTGGGTGCCCAACAAATTCATTCACTTACATATCCATCCAGCCAGCCAGCCAGGAATAAGGATTAAGCACCTCCTAAGTGGCATACACTGTCCTAGACCTTGGGGATCTAGCAGTGACGAAGACAATGTCCCTGCTCTCATGAAGTAGATGTCCTAGTGGTAGAAATAGTAGTACAAAGAAGGAAATATAATACGTATATAAGCAGGGCTATGAACACAAATTAGACAGGCAAGGGACAGGCAGTGATGGTGGTGCAATTGATAGAGAGTAGTCAGGGCTCTGGGAGGAGGTGACATTTGAGGAAACCTACAGGTCGTGAGCAACGGAGACTTGCAATGTCTGGTACAGCATTCCAGGCATTGGAAGCAGCAGAGGCTAAGGCCTTGAGGTGGGAACATGCTTGTCAAATCAGACCGGCAGGCAGGAGGCCAGTGTGGCCAGAGGGCACTGGCCGAGGGTGAGAGGAGGCGAGCGAGAGGGCAGAGGGGTGAAGGGCTGGGTCATGAGGGCCCTGCAGCCAAGGTGGGGCCTTGGTGTTATTCCAGGTGCTGCCGGGGGAGGGCAGTGGAGGGCTTTGACAGGAAGAGGACCTAACTTACCTTTTTAGAGGAAGACCTTCGAGAGGGCCAGGGTTGGGAGGAGGCGATGGTGCTGAGAGGTGGGGGTGGCAGCGCCAGGGGATGATGATCTCATCAGGAGGACACTGAGTGAGGCTGACACTCAGTAAGGGCACGAGGGAGAAAGCAGGAGTCACCCCCTACCAAGGGAGCCAGCACAGCAGTTTGTTGGCCTGGACCTCTCTGTGCTGGATACTCTGTTATCCTCCCAGCCCCTCATATAGGCCATGCTCTTTCACATGGGGCTTTGCCCCTGCTGTTCCCTCTGCTAGGAATGCCCTTCCTCCCTTGGCAGCCTCTTCTTCTTGTGTGTGACTGGACAGCAGCCCCTGAGGGCGGACCACGTCTGCCTGGTTCCTTCACTGCAGCACTCTGAGGTTCTTGCAGTGCCTGGCACACATAGGCACGCAATAAGTATTTGTGGACTGAATAAGTGCATGCATCCTAAGTATCAGGTGCTCCAAAACATTCTAATTCTTTGCAATCACTCCAGATGAGGCCCTGGAGGCTCAGAGCAGATAAGCAAGTTGCCCCAGAGTGCACAGCTGCTAAGTGGGCAAGCTGGGATGCAGACATGGGAATGTCCAACCCCAGAGCCAGGGTCTTTCTCCTACACCTCACCACTGGGAATGCTTCTGTGAGGGCTGGAAATTACTCCTGACAGGGTCTGGGGATGAGCAGATGCACCTTCAGGTGCAGAAGCTGTAACTGTACCTTAGGGAGAGGGGATACCTGGAGCATTTAAAAATGTCATTACCGTCCAATCTAAAGTAATAATAGTGGACATGTAGCATAGCACTTACCATGTACTAATTAATTTCATGTTCATGACAACCCTATGAAGCAGGCACTATCATTATGTCCATTCTACAGATGAGAAAAATGGAGTACAGAGTGAGTAACTTACTGCCCAAGGTCATGAAGCTACCAACTGGCAGAAGTAGGCTTTTGAATCCCAGGTGTCCAACATGTACCTTGCATTTCACCCACAGGTTTGGCCCCCATAGTTCTTGGACTTTGCTCCCTGAGTCTCTGTGGAGACCAAGGCCTGGGTGTGGGAACTCAGCCAAGCTGATGGCAGGGGAGCTAGGGGGACAAGCCTGACTCTGTTTCCTTCCTGCCTTTGCTCTTTTTCACTGGGGGGCCTTCCCACCTTCCCTCGTACCTGTCTTTGGGGATCCTTTTCAAAGTCCAGCCTGAAAAAAAAACCCCTAAAACCAAAAACTTAAAAGTGATGATTCATTCATTTCCACACTCCCCCTCTCCAATTAATCATTCCTGTTTGAGTCCCCAAAGCTCAGACAACGTAACATTCTAGTTAAAACCGTAGGCTTTCCCATCAGCCCAAGTGTGGTACTGAACCTCTGAACCTGAAGGTTTTAAGGAAGAAAATAGGATTATCCTGAGAAAGTGCCCAGCGCTGGGCTTGCCTCTGGGCTCCAGGAGCAGGGCCATTCTCACCCTTGGTATAACCCTCATCTTCAAAGTCTCCCAGGTCCTGTGGTGCTCACTGCCAACCCACCCCGGTGCCTTCCACAGAGCCTGGCAAACAGTAGAGGCTCAGAAAGGTTGTGGATTTTGGAGTTGAAACTCTCATGCTGTCTCTTTCTGGCGGTGGGACCTCAGACATGCAGTTTGCCTCTCTGAGACTCAGTTTCCCCATCTGTTAATTGTGGATGGTGCTGACTTGGTCTCCCCCAGTCACTGCCAGGACCAAGATGTTAAGGCTGGTGAAGCACCTAACACACCATGCAGGGATCCAGCTATCCTTGGGGGCTTTCTCCAGAATGTACGTGGGAACCCTGGAAGGAGACATGTAGTTCCATTCCTCTGGGAGCGAACAAATCTGATGCCCTTAGTGGCCTGACTCCCCACGCAGAGGTCCCTGCCCTTCCCGCCCCATCCTGCTTCCCCAGGGCCGGGTTCCAGGCTCAGAGGTAGGGCATGGCTGAGCCATCTATGGAGCAGCAGTGACCCCGCATGGCTAAAAGGTGCAGAGCAGCAGAAAACGTCCTGCCAGGTCTCTACCCAATGTGGACTGCACTTTTCACTCTGCCTACAAAATCACGCTTCTGACCCTGGCAGCCCAGGTCCCAGATGGTCATTCCAACCAGTTGCTAACCTTTCCTCCTGCCCCGCAAGGCATTCAGCCACCCCACCCTGACTTCTCATGTGCCAGTGTCCACTCTGTGCCAGACACCGTTGCCTGTGAGCCTCCACTACTGCTCGCACCTTCACTTCCAAGTTCAGCCTCTTCTCCAGGGCCCTACTGGCCCGTCCATGCTCTGTCTCACTGCCTCTTCCCTGCATCCCACACTCTGACATGGTGGGCTCCTCGCTGCTCCCCAAGCACGTGCCATTCCACCCAACCTCCTTCCCTTGCTTGCAGACATTATTTAACTTCATCGTCATTACCTGGAAGACAGTATTCCTATCCCATGGTACCAGTATGGACCATGCGACACAGAAGGCCTGAGGTCACTCAGCTAGGAGGCAGCAGAGCCAGGATCTGAACCCAGAACGGCAGTCCTTCCCTGTCACAGCACTGTTCACAGCACATTGAGAAAGCCCTCATGTCACGCAGGGCTGTGGTGCAGGGGTGTAAAGGTTGGAATTGCCAAATCCACCAAAGCAGGCAACTGTCTCAGGTGGAAGCAGGAGGAAGGCTTCATTCCCAGGAGAGATGACATGTGAGCTGGCTTTGCAGGAGCAGTAGAATTGTCCAAGGCAAAGAGGGCAGGAAGGGCATTCCCGGTGGTGGTTACAGCATGAGCCAATGAGGGAAGAAGGTTGGGCAGAATGACATGTGCTTGAGGAGCAGCAAGAAGCCCATTATGTTGGCCAAAGTGTGCAATGTAAGGAGGAGGCAGTGAGATATAACTTGCACAGGCCAATCCAAGTTCAGCTGGGGAAGAGGCTGAACTTGGAGATGAAGGTGTGAGCAGTGGTGGACGCTCACGGGCAACAATGTTGTGTGTCAGAGGGCAGGTAGCAAGCGGACACCCTGAAAATCCCATTCCCTTCTTGGGGATGGCAATCTCAGGTGTCTGTTCCTCAGGCACACTCAGCACAAGGAGTGGTTCTGACAGCCTCCATGCCCCCACCCCCGCCCCACAGAACTACTATCCAGGCCCTGGAAATTATGGGGAGAAGGGTAACCCATACACCAAGCTGGAGGAGAATGCCTGGAACCGGTCTCATTCCGAGGGCCTCATGTGCAGGATGAGCAACAAGCCACACCCCCGGCCTCATCAGGTACCCCCTCGGCTGGCCAGGCCTTGCCTGCCTTCCCGTCCTGCAGGGGCACTCCCAGGGCAGAGGGGGAAGCTGAGCTCTCCTGCAGGCCTCATCACCTCTGCTGTGCTCTAGGGGAGTGGTCTGGGACCCGGCACCTACTTCTTCAAAAGCGACCTTGAGACATATGTGGCACGATCCGTCGGCACCCGCGGCCCCTATGACACTTTCTCTGGTGATCGGAGCAAGCCACTGCCTTATGGGCACTACTCCATGCAGGTGTGTACCCAGGGGTTGAAGGGTGTTAGTCCATGCCCCAGCAGGATGACAGGCCTCACTAGTCAGCACCAGGAACACCAGCCTGTGTGCCAGGCTCTGCACCGGGCCTTTCCCACACCCCCTCACTTCACCCTCACAGCCAGGGCTGGATCCGGTTTCCCATGTTAGGTAGGGAAAACTGAGGCTGGCCACATGGCTGGAAGGAGCAGAGCTGGGATTTGAACCCAAGGACGTCTGTCTGACTTCACTGCCAACTCTCTCCTCTGCACTGGCATGAAGTGCCCAGGAGGTGAAGATGGCCCACAGTGCCAGGGGAGCTTGGCCATGAGGAACCTTGATGGCAGAAGGTGGGAGCATCCTCCTATTTTGGAAACAGCAGGCATTATAGACCAAGCTGGCTGGGTTAGGGCCAGCGCTGTTAACAAAGCAGAGAACAGGAGGCCCAGGAGGGGAACTTGAGGTAGAATTTTGTCTTGGTATCTCACAGCTTGCTGCATTTTGCTTGCTTTGTGCTCATAGCCACTGGAATTAGGTTTTGTCTAATTGCCTGTTTATGTTGTCTCCATTATGCATTCTCGCGGTGGGTGTGATTAAGCCAGGTAGTAGGTGAGGTACAGGGGAAAGCAGCCCTTGCGGAACTTACATTCTAGTGGGGAAAGAAACTCAGTCATCAATGAATAAGAAAAAAATTATCGAGTGTGAGCAGGCAATGAGTGCTACGGCAGAGCTCAGGAGTGCTGAGGAGGGTGGTGGTTAACGTAGAAGGACCTCAGGACCAGCTGGCAGGTAGCCACTGAGCTGAGGCCTTCGACCTGGCTGCTCCCTGGAGCCCCCCAGACCTCCCCATGACCAGCTATGGCAGGGGTCAAGGGACCCTCCTCAGGCACTGTGGCCAGTGCCCATTCTGGCTGGCCAGCGCCCAGGCCACGCTGTTTGCTTTTGTTTGTGAGACTTTTTTTTTTTTTAGATCAGTTTCAGGTTCACAGCAAAATTGAGTGGAAAGTACAAGGAGTTCCCATATACCCACTGCCCTCTCCACACCATGCACAGCCTCCCCGACCACCAACATCCCACAGCAGCCTGGTCTGTTTGCTGCAGTTGAAGAACTGATACGTCATTATCACCACAAGTCTGTGGCGTACCTTAGGGTTCACTCAGGTGGTGTACATCCTGTGGGTTTGGCCAAATGCGTGACATGCAGCCACCATTTTAGTATCATACAGAATAGTTTCACTGCCGTCCAAATCCTCTGTGCTCCTCCAGTCACTCTGGTTTTAAATATTTAAGACATCGTTCCTGCTTAGAATAGTGCCAGACTCAATACATGTCCAACAAATGAAAGAAAGAAGAAATGGATGAAAAGGAGCTGGGCAGTAGGGTGTGGCAGGTGCATGGTGCAAGAGACTAACCCCGCCCCGACCCGCTGGTTGGGGAAAGACTGTCTGTTTCCACCAGCCCTTGTCAGGGGGGCCTTGAGGCTGGCCCGGCCTCCGGCCTCCGGGATGTCTGCACAGCAGGATAGTAAGTGATGCCCCATTGCTTTTCTCTGGTTGCGGGGGAGGGTTGAGAAAGGAGCTCTTGATTTTCCTGGCATAGCAGATTCCTTTTTCTCTCTTTTTCTTAGAAAAAAAAGCCCAGGGAACTGATGAATTTCAAGAGCTTTGTAGAAGAACTTAACTCACATCACAATAAGAAGCATGGGGTTTTTTCTAAACTTCCCCGAAACCCGAAAACCCCTACAGAGAGGATTTACTGGGCCAACCTCAGCCAGTGCCCCCGCACACTGGTGAGTTCACTCCTATGGCCGGCCTTCCTCTCTCGGAGGGCAGCTCTCCTTCCGGGGCTGGGCATGGGGTAGGGTGGCTAATTTCATAGGGAATAGCTCAGTCTTGGGATCAGACTGACTTGGTTTCCAATCCTGGTCTGGAACATTGGGACACTTTAGGTGAGACTTTGGGCGTCGGTTTATACCCCTGTCCTATGAAGATGGTGAAGTGGTTGTGGGAAATTAGATGAGGCCCTGTACTCGGAGCCTACAGCATGGTGCCTGGTACCCAGGAAGCGCCCAGCCAGTGCCGACCTTCCCCCTGCACCTCCCTCCTCTGGCCTCAGAGCGTTGGAGGATGGGCAGGGGAAACTGGAGCAGGGCAGAGTGCAGTCTACCCACTGGGACCTGCCCACTTGCTCCGCCCAAGGGAGTGGTGCACTCGGCCCTAGTGTCAAAGCAGGCCCTCTGGGGGTCTGAGCAGGCCCCCAAAGCACGGTCTGCCCCCGCTAGGCACTTTCCAGCCTTCCTGAGGTAGGGATTATCATCTGCATTTCACTAAAGGAAACCGAAGCCCAGATCTGGAAAGGGATTTACCAAGTTTCTCCAGCAAGGGTGAGACGGGGCTGGGATTGGAACCCAGCTCATCTGGCTCCAAGTCTGGTGTGGTCTCCTTCCTCAGAAATGGGGTCTTCAGCTGTCTGGGCCCCACCAGACAATGAAGGCCCTTGGACACCTGAAAAGAGGCATCAGGCTGTGATGGGTGTTTGTTAGAGTGGGTGGCATGGGTCATGAGGGCCCCTTTGCCGGGAGATAGCTGGGTACCTCCACCGTCCTTGGCTCAAGACCCAGGGCTGCTGGATGGGTGGAGTCAGCTGGCCAGAGCCCTCACCTGCCCTGGGCCCAGGCTGACACTGCCAGAGCCTCTCCAGATTTCAGCCTTCCTTCCTTACTCGTAGGCCACATCTGGCCCCAGTTTCTGGCTTCCACAAGAGAAGAAATGCAAACCCGTCAACCAGCCCCCATTCCTGTTGACCTCCAAGGGGTCAGGTGCAAAGGCCTGCCAGATGATTATGGGAAGCTGGGTAAGTGGGTCTGGGGTGAGGGATACATGGGAACTCTCTCCTGCCTCTACAGCCAACACCAAAGCCTCTTTGTCCCCAGGTAACCGATGCTTTGAGTGAGCCATATGCCTCCCCTTTCTTTTCCCCAAGGGACCTGAGGTCCACTCCCACTGTCTTATTTTCCTAAGGCATTGGTTCTCAAACTTGAACTGGTATTAGCATCACCTGTAGGACTTGTTAAAACACAGATGGCTGGGCCCCATGCCAGAGCTTCTGATACAGTAGGCCTGGGTTGGGACATGGGAATTTGCATTACCAACAAGTTCAGGTGATGGCGATGATGCTATTCCAGGGACCACACTTTGAGAACCAATTAGCTAAGAAACATCACACCGCAGCCATGCCATTCTCTTATTTTCCCAGAGAAATGCTCCTTCCATCCTCTGTGTTTGTCTTGGGCCTCAGGGGCAGCTGGTGAAGCTGGTGCATTTCCCGTCCCTCACTGAGCAAGACCCCCTTCTGGCCCCTTCCCTTTCCCACTCTCTTCCTTCTCTCCAGAGGCAGCCATCCCCAAGTGTGCGATGTATCTTTAGTTAGTGTTCTTGTAAACCAGCTAAATTCTTGGCCTTGGGCTTTGACCTCATTCTGTTTCTTACTCCACCCCTTTTCAGTTTGTAATGCACCTTTTATTGGAGTCTAATAATCATAGAGAAAGGCGCTGAGTCCTAAGTGCACAGCTCCATGAATTGTCACATAATGGCCGTAACTATCCCCCAGAGCATTTAACAGCTCTCATTTCCAGCTCCCCAAGAGCCCCTGCCATTCCCACCCCCACCCCAATTTGATAGCCTGTTCTCCTGACTTCCAGTAGCACAGGTCAGCCGCCTCACCTCCTTACCTCCCCACATGGTGGCAAGGTCCTCAGTGTGCCCAGACCCCAGTGACTGATTCTTGTGAGGACCAGCTGGTTGTCCCCGAATCCTTCCTTTTTTTACCTCTAGCCTGCACCCCCTGCAGGGGAGAAAGTCTTTACCTGAGAGTCCCCAAATGAAATGTTTAGACCAGAGCCAGATGACCCTACTGCTACCACAGAGCCAGCCACTGTGAAGTGGGAAGGGCTGATGTGAGGTCCGGGTTCTGGTGGCTCAGCTGACCGCACCCCACAGGGCGGGAGAGCCCCTCTGCTGGCACCTCCAAAACCTGGGTGCCTCATGAAACAGGCTTCTCCCTTGTGGGAGGCAACTTCTGTTTAGCATGGGACCAGCTTCTGGGTCCTAACATCTCCCCAGCCCACCCCTCAGGACTGCTTCTCTGCAGATGGCCGGGTTCTTGTCCTGCCTTTATTCTGCCCTTGCCGTGTTACCTTGGGCAAGTTGCATCTCCTTTCTCAACCTCTCTGTTGGTGCCTCTAGGATCTGTGACCCCGATATCTGGGTGGGATGCTGTATTCCCTTCCTAGGGCTGCCACAAACTAGGTGGCTTAAAGCAACAGAAATATTCTCTGACAGTTCTGGAGGCGAGAAGTCTGAAATCAAGGCGTCTGCAGGTCCGTGCTCCCTCTGAAACCTGTTGAGAAGAATCTGTCCTTGCCTCTTTGTAGCTTCTGGTGGTGGCCAGCAATCCTTGATGTTCCTTGGCTTGTAGTCGTCACTCCAGCCTGTCTCCTGGCATGGCTGTCTTCCTGTGTATCTCTTCTTAAAAGGACACCAGTCACATTGGAAGAAGGGCCCACCTTACTGCAGTATGACTTAATCTTAACTAATTATGTCTGTAGCAACCTTTTTTCCAAATAAGGTCACATTTTGAGATACTGGGGTTGCTCGGGGTTGGGACCTCAACATATCTTTTTGGGAGACACAATTCAACTCATAACAGATGGAGTAGGGAAGCGTCCAAGGGGAGGAGAGGAAGCCGAGACACAGTCTCCAAGCCAGGCTTGCTAATGTCCTGCCATCCTCTCCCTGTTGCAGAACCCAGTAGGTGTGGGCCGCTACCTCAACACCTGGCTGATGGAGACAAAGGACAGGCGGCAGCGATATCGATCCCTATTCCTGAGTGGATCCAAACGCTACCTCTCAGACCTGGCCCGGGACATGCTCATGCAGTGAGTGCAGCTGGAGCTGCAGGCGAAGGGGCGAGGGCGGTGGGGGGTCTTACTCTGGGGTGGGCTGGTGGTTCCCCATGTTTGGTTCCCATGGGAACACAGCTTCTGCCCCTAATGCCAGCCAAACAGCAGAGGCAGTGGAGGGACGTTCACGTTCAGATCCTGGCTCTGCCACTTACTGTAAGTGTGAGGTGGGGCATGCTGCGTAACTTCGCTGAGCCTCATTTCCTTCAGCTGTCAAAAGAGCAGATGTTTGAGGAGACCCAAATGAAATGATCTGTTGAAAACCCTTGGTAAGGAAAAGGTACTCAATCAACCTTAAATCTGCCACCCAGAGCCCATACGGTCCAGTCTCGGCTCTCAGTGGCTTCACCACGTGGAATCTGTTTCTTGGTGTTCATAATGGGGTTGGTAAAACTCATTTCAGAAGGTTGCAAAGCCTAAGAAGGGAAAGGTACATTAAATACTGTGGCAAACTATACAACAGCTTGTAAATGTTAGCTGCTGCCATATTTGATTGACCTAAGAGGCCATCCATTGTAATATAGTAACAATTTCAGAAATGTTACAATGTTGACAAACATGCACTTTATAATCCAGTATTTTTTTTTTTTTGAAATTATGGTGAGGACATGAGGACCAGATTCTGAGGACCAGATTTCTCAGGAGAAATCAGCTTTTAAATGTAATTTTAAAGAATATTTTATTTTTTATCAAAGTAGTGCTGTGTCTTCCTCCTTCTCAACTTACCCCCTTGTTCTGGTGGGTTCCTGAGAAAGGGCTGAGGAAGGAAAGATTTTTGATAGAATGTATGCCTGAAAATGTTTCTTATTTTTCCTTTCTGCACATCTGATCAATAGTTTGGTTGGAAATAAAATTCTAGGTTGGATATAATTTTCCCTCTGAATTTTGAAGGCCTTTCATAGCCTCCTAGCTTCAAATATGGTTGCTGAGAAGTCTTATACCTTTCTGGTTTTCTGTGCTGTGTATGTGACCTGCATTTCCTTCCTGGAAGCTTTCAGGATCTTCTCTTTGTACTTCCTGTTCTGATGCATCTTGGCATGGGTCTGTTTCATCCTTTGTGCTGGGTACTTAGTGGCTTCCCTCCATCTGGAGACTCAGCACCTTCTATTCTGAGAGAATCTTCTGAGTTTTGTCTTTGACGATTTCCTCTCCTCTGTGTTCTGTCTGCTGCCTTTCAGATATCTCTTTTAGATGAATGTTAGATGCCCTGGTTTGGCACTCTAGTTTTCTTTTTTTTTCTCTCTCTCTCTTCTTTCTTATTTTCCATCTTACCTTTCTGTTCTACTTTCTGGTAAAATTTTCTTGTCCTTATCTACCCTACTATTATTTTAAAAATTTTGGCTATCATATTTTTTAGTTTCCAAGAGTTCTTTTGCTGTGGATTGCTCTTTTCTTTCTTCTTTTAATAGCACCCAGTTCTGTGTCATGTATGCAGTGTGCAGTATGTTCTTTTTTTTTCTTTTAAGATGAGGTCTCACTCTGACGCCCAGCCTGGAGCACAGTGATGCAATCTTGGCTCACTGCAACCTCTGCCTCCCAGGCACAAGCGATCCTCCTGCCTCACCCTCCAAAGTAGCTGGGATTACAAGCATGCACCACCACACCCGGCTAATTTTTGTTATTTTTTGTAGAGGCCAGGTTTTGTCATGTTGCCCAGGCTGGTCTTGAACTCCTGAGCTCAAGCAATCTGCCTGTCTCAGCCTCCCAACGTGCTGGGATTACAGGTGTGAGCCACTGCGGCTGGCTGCAGTATGTTCTTTTATCTAAAGATGTTAATTAAGTTTTCCTGAAGTTCTTTTGCCCCCTGTGTTGTCTCCAATTCTTCCAAGTTCCTTTTTTTCTTTTGCTTGTTTGTTCATACTGAAGAGGAAAGCACTAAATAATACTGTGAGTCTGGTTGGGGCCTGTCAGTCACTGTGAGTGATTGGCAGGGGCCCTGGTCTTTCTGTTGAGACCCTCAAATGCCAGTGTCTCTAGGTGTTTTCTGTGGGACTATTCAGCTTCTCTAGAAAACAATCCTCTGTCCTGGGTGGGGGTAAGTGTGGTTGTTGGCGATCAGAGGAAGGAGACTGGGCTGTCTCATTCAGCGTATGGACTGCCTCCTACCCCCTCTCTTCTCATTGTGGGACCTGTCTGCCTACATTCCACTGTGCACCTCCTCCTAGCCCCCTGGAATCTATCCACAAACCAAACCTCCAGTCTACTGCTGGCTGGGTGAGGAGTCAGCAGGAGGTCATGTCTAGATGGGATCTCATTCTGTTACCCAGGTGGGAGTGTAGTGGCACAATCATAGCTCACGGCAGCCTAGAACTCCTGAGCCAAAGCAATCCTCACCTTGGTCTCCCATGTAGCTGCAACTATAGGTGCGTGCCACCATGACTGGCTACTTTTTAATTTTTATTTTTGTAGAGACAGAGTCTCACTATGTTGCCAAGGCTTGTCTTGAACTCTTGGGCTCAGGCTGTCCTACCACTGTGGCCTCCCAAAGTGCTGGGATTATAGACATGAGCCACTGTGCCCGGCCTCACCTGTTTTTGAAGATACCTGTGTGTCCCATTCCTAGAACTTTCTGAGGTTTTGTGGCAGGAGTTGGCAAGTGTCTCCTCAGCTTTCCCTACCCTCCCTCCCTCCCTTCCTTCCTTTTCTTCTCTTTTCTTCTTTTTCTTTTTCTTTCTTTCTCTTTCTTTCTTTCTCTTTCTTTCTTTCCTTCCTTCCTTCCTCTCTTTCTTCCTTTCTTCTTTCCCTTCCTTCCTTCTTTCCTTTCTTCCCTCCCTCCCCCCCATATTTCTTTTCTTTCTGTCCTTCTTTCTTTCTCTTTTCTTTCTTTCTTTTTCTCTCTTTCTTCTTTCTTTCTCCCTCTCTTTTCCTTCTTTCCTTCCTTCCTTCCTTCATTCATTCCTTCCTTCTTCCCTCCCTCCCTATCTCCCTTCCTTCCTTCCCTCCTTCTTTCTTTCTTTCTCTCTCTCTCTTTCTTTCTTTCTTTCTTTCTTTCTCTCTTTCTCCCTTCCTTCCTTCCTTCCTTCTTTTCTTTTCTGCTTTCTTTCTCTCTCTTCTTTTCTTTTCCTGTTTTACATGCAGTGGTATGAACATGGCTCACTGCAGCCTCGACTTCTCAGGCTCAAGCAATTCCCCAACCTCACTCTCCCTAGTAGCTGGAACTGCAGGTGTGCACCAGCACACCTGGCTAATTGAAAAAGTTTTGTTTTTTTTTTGTAGAGACAGGGTCTCACTATGTTGCTAGGGCTGGTCTCAAACTCCTGGCTTCAAGTGGTCCTCCCACCTCGGCCTCCCAAAGTGCTGGGATTACAGATGTGAGCCACTACGCCTGGCCTATTTTTAGTTTTTTAAAGAAACTTCCATACTGTTTTCCATAATGGCTGTTCTAATTTGCATTCCCACCAAAAGCATGTAAGAGCTCCCTTTTCTCCACATCCTTGCCAGCATTTGTTACTTCTTGTCTTTTTGATAGTAGCCATCTTAACTGGGGTGAGATGATATCCCTCAATTGGGGTTTTGATTTGCATTTCCCTGATGATTTGTGATGTCAAGCATTTTTTCATTTATCTGTTGAGCATCTGTATGCTTTCTTTTGAGAAATGCCTACTCATGTCCTTTGCCCACTTTTTTTGTTTGTTTGTTTGAGATGGAGTTTCGCTCTGTCACCCAGGCTGAAGTGCAGTGGCGTGATCTTGGCTCACTGCAACCTCCGCCTCCTGGGTTCAAGCGATTCTCTTGCCTCTGCCTCCTGGGTAGCTGGGATTACAGGTGTACACCACCACCCCCGGCTAATTTTTGTATTTTTAGTAGAGACGGGGTTTCACCATGTTGGCCAGGCTGGTCTTGAACTCCTGACCTCAGGTGATCCGCCCACCTTGGCCTCCCAAAGTGCTAAGATTATAGGCATGAGCCACAGCACCCAGCCTGCCCACTTTTTAAATGGGATTATTATTATTGCTGTTGAGTTCCTTGAATATTCTGGATATAAATTTCTTGTCTGATGAATAGTTTGCAAACATTTTCTCCTATTCTACACGTTGTCTCTTCACTCTATTGATTCTTTTGCTGTGCAAAAGTTTTTAGTTTAATATAGTCCTATTTGTGTATTTTTGTTTTTGTTGCTTGTGCTTTTGAAGTTTTAGTCATAAAGTTGTTGCCTAGACCAGTGTCCTAAAGTTTTTCCCTTATGTTTTATTCTAGTAGTTTTACAATTTTGGGTCTGACATTTAAGACTTCAATCAATTTGGAGTTGATTTTTATATATAGTGAGGGGTCTAGTTTCATTCTTATGGATATTCAGTTTTTCTAACACCATTTATTGCATGGTGTTAGAATAATACCATTCTATGTAAGGTCATTTTAACAATATTAATTCTTCCAGTTCATGAACATTGGATATCTTTCCATTTGTTTGTGTCCTCTTCAATTTCTTTCATCAGTGTTTTGCAGTTTCCATTATAGAGGTCTTTCACCTCCTTGGTAAATTTATTCCTAGGTATATTTTTTGGCAGCTATTGTAAATGGGATTGTTTTCTTGATTTCTTTTTCAGCTAGTTACTGGTGTATAGAAATGCTACTAATTATTGTATGTTAATTTTGTATTCTGACAACTTTACTGAATTCACTTCTCAGTTCTAAGAGTTTTGATGGAGTCTTTAGGTTTTTATCTATATAAGATCATGTTGTCTGCAAGGAGGGACAATTTATAACTTCCTCATTTCTAATTTAGATGCCTCTTATTTCTTTTTTTTTTTTTTTTTTTTTTTTTTTTTTGAGACGGAGTCTCGCTCTGTCGCCCAGGCTGGAGTGCAGTGGCGGGATCTCGGCTCACTGCAAGCTCCGCCTCCCGGGTTCACGCCATTCTCCCGCCTCAGCCTCCCAAGTAGCTGGGACTACAGGCGCCCACCACTACGCCCGGCTAATTTTTTGTATTTTTAGTAGAGACGGGGTTTCACCATTTTAGCCGGGATGGTCTCGATCTTCTGACCTCGTGATCCGCCCGCCTCGGCCTCCCAAAGTGCTGGGATTACAGGCGTGAGCCACCGCGCCCGGCCTTATTTCTTTCTTTTGTCTGACTGCTCTGGCTAGGACTTCCAGTACTGTGTTAAATAGGAGTGCTGATAGTGGGCATCCTTGTCTTGTTCGACTCTTATTTAACATAGTACTAGAAGTCCTAGATGTTTATTGATTTTATGTTTTCAAAAAACCAACCTTTCATTTTGCTGATCCTTTGTATTGGTTTTTTTTTTTTCAGTCTCTATTTTGTTTAGTTCTGCTCTAATCTTTATTTCTTTCCTTCAACTAATTTTGGGTTTGATTTGTTCTTGCTTTTCTAGTTCCCTGAGGTGCATTGTTACGTTGTTTATTTGAAATCTTTCTACTTTTTTGATGTAGGCATTTATTGCTATATTCTTCTTCCCTGTTAGCACTGCTTTTGCTGTATGTTGTGTTTCCATGGCTCATGATTCTCCCACCTCAGCCTCCTGAGTAGCTGGAACTACAGGTGCACATCACCATGCCCAAGTAATTTTTTTGTATTTTTAGTAGAGACAGGATTTCATCATGTTTCCCAGGCTGATCTTGAACTCCTGGGCTCAAGTGATCCATCCACTTCAGCCTCTCAAAGTGCTGGGATTCCAGGCATGAGACACTATGCCTGGCCTCTTTCTTAATTTATTCCTTGACCAAGTGGTCTTTCAGGAACATGTTGTTTAATTCCCATTTATTCGTACAATTTCCAAAGTTCCTCTTGTTATTGATTTCTAGTTTTATTTTATTGTGGTCTGAGGAGATACTTGGTATGATTTTGATTTTTAAAAATTTGTTGTGACTTGTTTCATGGCCTAACATATGGTCTATCCTGGAGAATGTTCCATGTATTGATGAGAAGAATGTGTATTCTGTAGCTGTTGGACGAAATGTTCTGCAAATGCCTGTTAGGTCCATTTGGTCTATAGTGTAGATTAAGTCTCATTTTTTCGTTGATTTTCTGTTGGATAATCTTTCCAATGCTGAAAGTGGGGTCTTGTCTACAACTATTATTGTATTGAAGTCTATCTCTTTCTTTAGCTCTAATATTATTTGCCTTATGTATCTAAGTGCTCTGGTGTTGAGTACATATATATTTACTATTGTTATATTCTTTTGATAAATTGACCACTTTATCATTATCTAATGACCTTCTTTGTCTCTTTTTATGTTCTTTTTTTTTTTACTTAAGGTCTGTTTTGCCTGATATAAGTATAGCTACTCCTGCACTATTTTGGTTTCCATTTTTGTGGAATATTTTTTTCCATCCCTCCACTTCCAATCTATGTGTGTCTTATCAGGTGAAGTGAATTTCTTGTAGGCAGCAGATAGTTATCTTCTAGACAGCAGCCAGTCTATATCTTTTAATTGGGAAATTTAAAACACTTACATTCAAAGTTGTTATTGATAGGTGAGAACTTACTCCTGTCATTTTGTTGTTTTCTGATTGTTTTATATATCTTTTGTTCCTTTCTTCCTCTTTTATTGTTTACTTTTACAATTTGGTGGGTTTTTGTAGGGATAACGTTAGACTACTTTCTCTTTCTCATTTGTGTATTTGCCCTACCAGGGAGCTTAATACTTTTGTATGTTTTCATGATTGTAGATGTCGCTCTTTCCCTTCTAGATGTGGGACTCTCTCAAGCATTTCTTGTAGGACTGGTCTAGTGGTGAATAATTCCCTGTTTTTGCTTATGCTGCAAATAATTTATTTCTTCTTCATTTTTGAATGATAGCTTTGCTGGGTGTAGTATTTGTGGTTGGCAGTTTTTTTGTTTGTTTGTTTGTTTTTTCCTTTCAGCACTTTGAATAATCATCCTATGCTCTCCTGGCTTGTAAGGTTTCTGCTGTTTTGGACTTTTTTTTTTAAGACAAGTTCTCGCTCTGTCACTCAGGCTGGAGTGTAGTCATGCAATCATGGCTCAGTGCAGCCTCAACCTTCCAGGCTCAAGCAATCCTCCCACCTCAGCCTCCCAAGTAGCTGGGAGCATAGGCATGTGCCACTATGCCTAGATATATATTTTTTTACTTTTTATTTTTTGTAGAGATGGGGTCTGTGTTGCCTAGGCAAGTCTTGAACTTCTGAGCTTGAGCAGTCCTCCTGCCTCGGCCTCCCAAAGTGCTGCGATTACAGGTGTGAGCAACCATGCCTGACCTGTCTTTGACTTTTGACAGTTTGACTGTAATGTATCTTGGAGAAGGCCCTTTTAATTGTATCTATTTGGGGGTTCTGTGAGCTTCCTGTATCTAGGTGTCTATATCTTTTGCAAGACTTGGGATGTTTTCAGCTATTATTTCATTAAATAGGTTTTCCAATCTCTTTTCCTTCTGGAACTCTCAAAATTATAATATTTTATTCCATTGTGGTGTTCTGTCACATATACTTTCTTAATCTTGTAATTTTTTTTCTTCTTTTTTCTGTCTGACTAGATTATTTCAAGATGCCTGTCTTCAAGTTCATAAATTCTTTCTTCTGCTTGATGTAGTGTATTGTTGAAGTTCTTGATTGTATTTTTAATTTCCTATATTGAATTGTTCAGTTCTAGGATTTCTGTTTGGTTCCTTTTTAGTGATATCTTTTTGTTGAATCTCATTCAGATCATCAATTGTTTTCCTGACTTCTTTGTAATTTTTATCTGTTTTCTCTTGTATCTCATTGATTTTCTTTAATATCATTATTTTGAATTATGTTTCAGGCATTTCATAGATTTCCTTTTGTTTGGGATCTGTTACTGGAGAAATATTGTATTCCTTGGAGGTATGATGTTTCCTTGCTTGTTCATGTTTCTTGTGTCCCTGTGTTCATATGTGTGCATCTAGTATAACAGTCACTTTTTCCAATTTTATGATTGTCTTTCATAGGGAATTACTTTTTTTTTTTTTTTTTTTTTTTTTTGAGATGGAGTCTCGCTCTGTCACCCAGGCTGGAGTGCAGTGGCCCTGATCTTGGCTCACTGCAAGCTCCGCCTCCAGGGTTCATGCCATTCTCCTGCCTCAACCTCCCGAGTAGCTGAGACTACAGGCACCTGACACCACGCCCAGCTAATTTTTTCTGTTTTTTAGTAGAGACGGGGTTTCACCATGTTAGCCAGGGTGGTCTTGATCTCCTGACCTCGTGATCCTCCCGCCTCGGCCTCCCAAAGTGCTGGGATTACAGGTGTGAGCCACCACGCCCGGTGGGAATTACCTTTACCTGTAGATGCATATATAGTGTTGGTTGGGTATGGTACTTTGGCTTTGATTCTGGGTGGATGCAGTAATGTAGTTTCTGTATGATTTCTTCAGCTATGATCAGCATCAGTGGTGTCTTTGGGTTTCTTAGTGGCTTAGGCTGTGGTTGTTAGGAGAGGCTATAGCAAGGCTTTGCTGGGGGTGGGGGTGCCAGGTGGGCTAGTCCTCAGGGACCAGTGGTGGCACAGTGGGCTGGGTATGTCAGTCCTTGGGCCCCTAGTTAACATATGTGAGTGCTGGCAGAGGCAGGTCTGGGCGGGCTGGTCCTCAGGCCTCCAGGTGATATGTTTGGGTGCTAGTGTTGGCAGTGGCGGGCTGAGCCAGTAGGTCCTTGGGCCCCTGGGTGATATGCATGGCATCGGTGGTGACAGTAGTGGCAATGGGCCAAACTTCTACTCTAGCCCCTGAGTAGTGCATGTGGGTGCCAGCAGTGGCAGTGGTGAGCAAGAGGGGCCAGTCCCAGGCTCCTGGGTGGTGTGTGAGTGGGTGCCAGCAGTGGTGATGGCAGGCTGAGTAGGCAGGTCCCTGGGCCCCTGGGAGATGCATGCATGGGCAGTGGGTAGGTGCACTAGTCTACGCCAAGGTCCCTGGACAACATGCACAAGCCCTGGTGGCAGTGGCTACAGGTAGCATGGGCCTGTCTAAGGGCTCCCTGACGGTGTACATGGGCACTGGCAGTGGCAAGTGGGGCGGGTGGATTCTTAGGCCCCAAGATGGCCTAAGAGTTTGGGCACCAGAGTTCAGGTAGGGTGGGCCTGTCCTCAGGCCCTGGAACAGTGTGCAGGTGTGCAGCAGCTCTGCCACTGGAAGAGGTAGTGTTGCTGTTAGTGGCAGTGGCTCCAGGCAGCTAGCTCTCAGGCTCTGGGGAGCACAAACTTCAGCTTTCTTTGCCCTAGGTCAGCTTATTTAGTACACTGCCCTGCCCATTCCCCAGGGTGTAGGACACTGCATGGGCTAGAATGCTAGGGACCTGGCCGCACTGCTGGGTCCAGCTGGCATTGGAACACTGCAGCTGTCTGAGTGGACATGAGGGGATGTCAGCAGGGCCCCAGGGATTTGGAGATACAGGATCTGTAGGGCTCCAGGGCAAGATGTAGACTGGTGGGGACTGGGCTCTCAAAATGGTGCTGTGCTGCAGCTGCTTGGGTATCAGGGGATCGGTGGGACCCAGTGCAAACTCCCTCTTGGGAACAATGCTGTCACATGTACCCCCAGAAGTCCCCTGTATTAGTCTCAGGGCCTGCAAGGCCTGAGGGCTCTCCTGTGGGTAGGATTGCAGGAGCCTGTGCGGGGAATGTGGAACACAGGGGATCTCTTGCTCACCCTTTCTCCACACTGGGGACTTTTTCCTGGCTCTGAGCTGATCCTGGCCAGGCCAGCTGCTTCGCTTCCTTCTCCTTCCATGCCTCAGAAGTTCTATGCTGAATTCCAGTGTTCTCTCATTTGCTACATTCAACGTGTGGTTATCTACTCGCTGTTTTGGTCCTTCTGTGTGGAGGAGGCAAGTGCTTCGCACCTCTAGTCAGCCATCTTGAAGCCCCCCTCCTATTTGTCTGTTTTTAAAAAATTCCTTTATACTTTTAGTGGGTTGCAGGAGGAAGCAGAGATAAATGCATGTATTCATCTGCCTTGTTGAATGGTAAATCATATGAAATGAAACACTTTTTGGGTGCAAAAGCATTTTCTTCCCCTTTCTAGTCAAGGTAGTTAGCCTTATTTTAGGGATGTTAAAACCAGGACCAGAGAGAGGAAAAGAGGGGGACAACTTGCCTAAAGCCACACAGCTGGTGAGTGACAGAGCTGGCACTAGAATCTAGTCCTTCCCCTTCTTGGGCAATATCCTTTACACATATCAACACCCATGTGAGGTGAGGATTTGGGGGTGCTAGGGCAAGTACCATGCCCAGACTCCTGCAGGGCCACTCCTCTCAGCTGCTCTTTTGCAAAGTCCAGTCTATATGCTGTTTGCTTAGCAAAAGACTTTAAGGAAGGGAAGGGTGCCCCATCCCCGCAGGACTCTCCCCCTGGACACCTGTGTTCTCCTCCTGGACATCTGTCTTTCTCTTGTGTTCAGCATTCTCCTTCACCACTGTTAACACATCCAACACTCAGGCTGGTGAGAATTATAGGATTTCTAACCCCGGCTTAGAATTCCATGTCTGCCACTTAGCTGCGTGACCTGGGGCAAGTTGCTCAGAGAAGACTTCCCTCATCTGAAAAATGAGGGTAAACTAATAATCACCTTCAGAGTCCATTATGAGGACTGAATGAATGACACAGGTGAATGTACACTGCCCCTATCGATGCTGTTTTGGAGGCATGTTGCACACACTAGCTTCCTTTTCCCTTAGCAGCTGCTCCTGCCTTGGCAGAATTCTGTTTTACTTATTTATATAAGGAAAAATTTCTTTACAGAGGCTTAAAATGCATGACATCCAGGAAGAGAAACTACAATTACTTAAAACACCCTCTGTTGCCAAAGACCCAAGCAAAAGCCTCTAGTAAGATAGAGATTTTTATATAGAGACTGGGGGAGAAATAGCAGGTCCTTTGAGGCTTGAGGAGGATGAGGGCTTTGAAAGAGAAGGCCAAAAACATTGAGTAACTAGAGGTTTCTCAATGAAGTCAAGAACAAGATAGGGATGCTTGTGTCACTGGCATTATTTAACATTGTTTTGGAGGTTGTAGCAAAAGCAATAAGACAGGAAAAATAAATAAGAAATATAAAATATTGGTAAGGAAGAGCAACATTATTACAATTGATAATGATATGTGTGTTTACTAAAAAATTCCAAGAGAGTTAATTTTAAAACCGTAGAGCTAGGAAGGCAAAAACAGGCAACAAAGTGTATAAATGAATATTTTCGTCTTATACTGCAGCCATAACAAATGGAAAATTAATTGAGGCAAAAAAAGGATTCCATTTTTTTTTTTAGACAGGGTCTTGCTCTGCCATCCAGGGCGGGGGTGCCACCCAGGGCTGCAGTGGCATGATCATGGCTCATTGTAGCGTCCACCTCCCAGGCTCAATAGACCATCCTGTCTCAGCTTCCTGAGTAGCTGGGACTACAGGCATGTGCCACCACACCTGGCCAATTTTTCTTTTTTGGAGAGAGACGGGGTGCCACTGTGTTGCCCAGGCTGGTCTCAAACTCCTGGGCTCAAGTGATCCTCCTGCCTTGGCCTCCCAGAGTGTTGGGATTACAGGTGAGCCACTGCACCCAGCCAAGATCCCATTCTTTTCTTTCTTTTTTTTTTATTTATTTTATTTTCGAGGGCTCTTTTTACTAAGACCCCATTCTTATTAGCAACACAAATGATAAAATACATTTGGGATAAACTTAATATGGTGTATTTAAGGCATAAATGAAGAAAAATAGAAATCTTTATTAATGGATGTTAAAGAATGCCTGAATAACTGGATGAAAAGACACGATATTGGAAAAATATTAAATCTTCCCAGTGATGTACACATCTTAAGTCAAATCCTAGAGAGGTTGATGGGGCCAGAGGGGGCAACTGGATAAATTGATTATAAGCTTCATCTGAAAGAGTAAGACACATATAAATACATTTTAAGATAGAAGAATAATGATCCCACTTTAAAATGCATTGACATATGCGTAGAAAACATAATATGGAGGACTAAGCACCACACTGTTGGCCATGATTACATGCGGAGGGCAGGGTTAACAGATTCTTTCATATTCTACCTTGTTGAAATGTTTGAGTTTTTCAAAATAAGCATATATTGTTTTATAATCAGAAAAATAGTACAAATAGAGGACAAGAGCTCTTGAGATAAACTACACAGAATACGAGTTCCCCTTTTAGACCCATCTCCAACCAAGAGTTACCCTTTGTCTTCCAGACCTTAGTTTTCCCATCTGTAAAAACAGAAGAATTTATACCCTGGGGGACCTGGTGAGGCCTAACTAAGTCTTATGAATGCTGCCAAACTGAAGCCAACCAGCAGGTCCCTGTGGGTGTCAGACTGTTAGGCTGGGGCATGATTCTCTCAGAGGCTCAACTTCAGCATTGTCCATGAAGCCTTTGCCCTACTTGGGCTCCTGGCTCAGAATTATGATGCCAGGAGGCACAGAAGATCGATCACAGGTGTGAAGGATTTCTTTATGCACTCTTTCACTGACTGATTCATTTGAAAAACCTGCCCTGTGCTTGGTTCTGTCCTGAGTGCCTCTGAGCTGCTGATTGTTTTCAGGTGACCAGAAAAAGTCTGCCATTCCCTCACTGAAAATTTCATTTTTGCATTCATATTTTTTAAGTTTTTTAAGTTTTAAGAGTTATTTTTTGTCTTCTGAATGTTCCTTTGATAACAATATGCTCTGGTTTCATGAAGGCAGTGCTTTCTCATCTTTCGAAGATATTAAGACAAATATCTTCAAAAGATTAAAGATTAATATATTCTTTTTGAAGATATTAAGACTATTTGCTTGACATTGTCCCCATTTTTTTTTCAAATCTCATTTTTCTGTATGTTCATTTTGGCCTCAGTCTTCTGTATCAGAGGTTTTTCCTCGAATGTCTGGTGATGCTTGGCTCTGCATACCTGTCCAGCTCTAAATCCTTCTGAAGGCTCTGGGGCACTTGTTGATTATGGACTCCACCACACGATGATCAAGCTGGGTGTTTTCACTGGGTGAACTCCCAATGTTACTACTGTTAGAACTTTCCTCTCTGGGGGTTGTAAGCTTGGCTGTCCAAGCTCTAGGATCTAAGTGGAAGGGAAAAGGCTACAGTTCTCAATATTTAGTGATTAAACTTCCATTTAATTCCCTCTTTTCTTTCTTTCTATTTATTTATTTATTTATTTATTGAGACAGAGTTTTGCTTTTGTTGCCCAGGATGGAGTGCAATGGCGCGATCTCAGCTCACCACAACCTTCGCCTCCTGGGCTCAAGTGATTCTCCTGCCTCAGCCTCCTGAGTAGCTGGGGTTACAGGCATGTGCCACCACACTCGGCTAATTTTGTATTTTTAGTAGAGACAAGGTTTCTCCATGTTGGTCAGGCTGGTCTCGAACTCCTGATCTCAGGTGATCTGCCCACCTTGAACTCTCAAAGTGCTGGGATTACAGGCATGAGCCACTGCACCTGGCCCCATTCCCTATTTTAAATATGGTACTCATGATTTCAGCTATGCCTGGTGCCATCCTGAATAGAGAATCTATCTCCAGAGAATAAATCTCCAATCTTCTGCCAGGCTAAATGAAGGGCACTCATCTGGCTGCAGACAGTGGGGGAGAGAAACTGATATTATACAGATTATCAAACTGATATTATATAGACCAATCCCTGTTTTTGGTTTCATCTTCATTCCCACTTCCAGCGGTACCTAGTGCTGCCAATTCCTTAGTCTTTTGGAGTCGGGGGATTCTTAGCTTTACCATTTACTGATTTGGAGTTTAGCTTTCTTAGGTCTACCAGGTTAGTCACCATTCTTCCATCTGCTTTTCAACTTCCAAAATATTTTTTCTTCCTGCTGCTTCTCCTGTTCTTTTTGCCCTTGTGGGTACATGCCTTAACATTTTTATTCCTTTACTTTGTTTTAGTGAGGTTTCAGGAGGGAGAGAGGTTAATATACCCATTCAATCCATGAAAAGTGTGGTGAAATTTCTGGGTTTCAAAGGTAAAATAAAAATCTTGCTAGTATTATATCTAAAATGACACTGAACCTGCAATCTAAATCAAAGACAATCAGGCATATTTCATACTTCTCTTCTGAAACATAAATGATAGAAAACACTGTTTATATAATTCTCAAGGAAAAGAATTGGGACTTTGTAGAGTCCTCTATGTAGTCAACCAGTCATTCATCTGCAAAGCAAATGAGAGATGCACAAATATTGGGATATATATGAAATGCATATTTTTCTGAAAATATTACTGAAGGATATACTCCAGTCAAATGAAAAATGAATTAACATGGAGAGCTTAAGAAAGGGGAAGACATGGACACAATGGCTCATTCCTGCAATTGCAGCACTTTGGGAGGCTGAGGCAGGTGGATCACCTGAGGTCAGGAGTTTGAGACCAGCCTGGCCAAAATGGTGAAACCCCGTCTCTACTAAAAATGCAAAAATTAGCCAGGTGTGGTGGCACACACCTGTAATCCCAGCTACTCAGGATGCTGAGGCAGGAGAATCACTTGAATCCGGGAGGCGGAGGGTGCAGTGAGCCAAGATTGCGCCATTGCACTCCAGCCTGGGTGACAACAGCGAAACTCCATCTCAAAAAAAAAGAAAGGGGAAGACATGCATGTAAAAATACATCTGGCTATGATATATCAGATAAATGTAACCAACAACGAAAAGGAAGAGTAGTAATACAAACACTAAGCAAAATAGAATTCAAGGCAAAAATGGTAAGTGGAACAAAGATGAGTATTTAATCATGGTAAACAATAAAAAAATCCATGAAGAAATTATAATAACCATGAACTTTTTTTTTGACACAGGGTTAGGCTAGAGGCTGGAGTGCAGTGGCACAATCACAGCTCGCTGCAGCCTTGACCTCCCGGCCTCGAGCAATCCTCCCACCTCAGCCTTCCAAGTAGCTGGGACTACAGGCATGTGCCACCACGCCCAACTAATTGTTGTATTTTTTGTAGATGGGGTTTCACCATGTTGCCCAGGCTGGTCTCAAACTCCTGGGCTCAAGTGATCCACCAACATTGGCCTTCCAAAGTGTTGGAATTACAGGCATGAACCACCATGCCCAGCCTAACTATGAACTTTTACACACCCAAAATAACAGTAACAAAATCCCATAATAATAATGAGAATTCTTAATAGACCTATCTGAAAATTTGACAGCTAAGGATATATAAATAATTATTTGGAGGATTTGAATAGATATATTTTATTCCACATTATTTTCAGATACTTATAGAACATTTATAAAAATTGATCTCTAAGAAAATCTCATTTAAAATGTTAGTTAACAAGTTAACACCCTACATAGGAATTTTTAGGTTACTTTTTGTAAACATAATACAACAAAACAAGAAGTTAACACAAAAGGATAACCCCAAAACCAAGTACTTGGAAAGTGGAAAGCACTCTTCTAAATAGCTCTTGGGTCTAAGGGAAAATCAAGTTTAGAGTTACAGACTATTTAGACATTAATTACAATGAAAACTATAGATCAAAACCTGTGTAATATGGTCAAAGCACCCATTAGAGGAAAATTCATGGCTTTAGTTGTTTTAATATCAAACAAAAAAGATTGAAACCAAAAGAAGCAATCATTCAACTCTGTAAGTTTAAACAAAAAAAATCAAAATAAATAAAAATAAAGCTGGAGTAAAGAATCAATAAAAATGGGCTGGATGCAGTGGCTTACACCTATAGTCCCAGAACTTTGGGAGGCCGAGGCAGGAGGATCACTTGAGGTCAGGCGTTAGAGACTAGCCTGGGCAACATAGGGAGACCTGTCTCTACAGAAAATTTAAAAATTAGCTGGGTGTGGTGATGTGCACCTGTAATCCCAGCTACTTGGGAGGCTGAGGTAGGAGGATTGCTTGAGCCTAGGAGGTTGAGGCTGCGGTGAGCCATGGTTGTGCCACCACACTCCAGCCTGTGAAACCTTGTCTCAAAAAAAAAAATTAATAAAAATGAATGGAGACTGAATGGACAGAGGAGCTCCCATTGGATCCTCAGCTCTTTCATGTTAATGCCTTCTTCTCTAGAGTGGTGGTCAGGCAGGAGCCAGTCTGATTGCGGGTGTAAAATGTAGACATCTGCAGATGACAGAGGTGCTAAAGCAATGCGAAGGGTGACTGTCTGCCCTGTCATCCTCATCTCATGTGTGAATAAATGATGGGGTGAAGGGGATTGCTGAGTCCCGCAGCTGAACAGAGACAGTGCGGGGACCAGAAACACATGGCTCCGACTCTGACCCTGTGCTTCAGCCTCACCTCCTTGGCCAGGTTGGGAGGAGGTCCTTGGTGGCAAAACACAACACGTTCTCAACCAGTGCGCTGCCTTTGATCCAGGCGGGGGAGTGCATGTGTGAGAGTTGTAAAGTCTCCTTCTGGAATGTGCGGCTACAGCTAATCTTTCTCACCCCTCATCCCTAAGCTGCCTTCTTCCCTGCTTCTTCATGCAAACTGTAGGGTTCTGGGCTTCCAGCCTGGAAGCCTGGGATTTAACTCATGTGTGGGAAAGGCAGCCTTTTGTTTTCCATTCTGTAGAGCTGTGTATACAGTAGGTGCTTCATAAATGTGGTTGACTGATGAGTGGGCCAGGTTTTTCATCTAGCCAACTTTCTAGATCTTCTGGATCTTCCAGCAAGGTCTTTTTTACTCCGTCTGGTCTACCTCTGGCCATGTGGATATCAGAACTCTGCTCCAGGCCAGGCTCTGACCCACTCCCTTTGTCTTCCCCACATTGTGACATTGGCCACCCTATGATTTGTTCTTTTTTTTTTAATTTTTATTTCTTGAGATGGAGTCACGCACTTGTTGCCCAGGCTGGGATGCAATGGCTCATTGCAACCTCCACCTCCCAGGTTCAAGCAATTCTCCTGCTTCAGCCTCCAAAGGAGCTGGGATCACAGGCGTGCATCACCACAGCCGGCTAATTTTTGTATTTTTGGTAAAGATGGGGTTTCACCATGTTGGCCAGGCTGGTCTCAAACTCCTGACCTCAAGTGATCTGCCTGCCTCAGCCTCCCAAAGTGCTGGGATTACTGGGGTAAGCCACCATGCCTGGCCTATGATTTGTTCTTGAAACATCTTCCCCACAGTTTTTGTTTGGAAAACTCCTATTCACCCATCTATAGCGCTGCTTAAATAGGGAGTCTTCCCTGATTTTTTTCCAGGCAGCTTCAAAAGTTCATACAGAACTTTTCTACTTTCCAGCTCTGGTGTCTTGCTGGCAGGCATAGAAGGAACTCAGTGAATATTTGTTAAATGATGAGTCAGTACATTAATTAATAAAATGGGCCAGGATCTGATAACTCCATGAAAGGAACTCATGAGAAACTTCTTGTCTGATTTGGCAGAAGTTTATTTTTCCTTTTAAGTTTCTTTCCCTGGTATTTTATTACAAAAATTTCAAACATATAGCAAAGTTGAAAGAATTTTACAGTGTATACCTATATACCCACTACTCAGATTATACAGGTTGAGTCTCTCTTGTCTGAAATGCTTAAGATTAGAATTGTCTTGGATTTGGGATTTTTTTTTCAGACTTTGGAATATGTGGATATATATAATGAGGTATCTTAGGGATGGGACCCAAGTCTAAACGTGAAATTCATTTATGTTTCATACATGCCGTATACACACAGCCTAAAGGTAATTTTCTACAATATTTTAAATAATTTTGTGCATTAGCAAAGTTTTGACTGCCACCCATCACATGAAGTGAGGTGTGGCATTTTCCACTTGTGGCATCATGTCGGTGCTCAAAAAGTTTTAGATTTTGGAGCATTTGGATTTTAGATTTTCAGATAAGGGAAGCTCAACCTGTACCACTAATGGTTTACTCTTCCTGCTTTATGACCTATCTTTCTACCTATCTGTCTATCCATCTGTTAATTATCTTTCATTTTTGATAAAGTTCAAAGGAAATGGCAGCCATGAGTATACCTTCTCCTAAATGCTCCAGCACGCATACTGCATTTTTAGTATTTGAAGCTAAAAGGCATATTCTTTGTCCAGAAATCTGAAATGGAAATCATAAATGTCTATCCTCTGTAACGACAGTAATAAATTATTATATTCTTGGAATATCTTTAAAATGGACAAAGTGATGGTTTGTTTGTTTGTTTTTTGTTTTTTTGAGACAGAGTCTTGCTCTGTCACCCAGGGTGGAGTGCAGTGGTGCAATGTTGGCTCACTGCAGCCTTGACCTCCTGGGCTCAAGCAATCCTCTCACCTCAGGCTTCCAAGTAGCTGGGACTACAGGTGTGTGCCACCACGCCTAGCTAATTTTTGTAATGTTTGTACAGGAGGTTTCACCATGTTGCCAGGCTGTTCTCAAACTCCTGGCCTCAAGTGATCTGCCCGCCTCGGCCTCCCAAAGTCCTGGGATTACAGGCATGAGCCACTGTGCCTGGCCAGACAAAGTGATTTTGTATGTACTTATTGTATGCAATAGCTTTAAAGGGTAGGGATTATGCTCAGTGCTTTTCAGTTGAGAGTATTGAAGTTTGAAGAGAAAAAGTGATTTTCCAAAGTCATTGTTAGTAAACGGCATTGATGCATATATTTCTCAAAAATTGATTGTGCACCTACTGTGTGCCAGGCACCTTGCTGGTTCCTAGGACACTGCAGAAGAGAATCAGACAGCAGTCTGGTCCAGAGTGGCTCCAGCTTCATGGGGAGGGCACTCACCCACCTCCCCAGAGTTACAGGGCAGCCTGAGAAGAGGGATGAAGGCAGGTCGGGCCCAGGACTTCTCTCTCTCTGTCCAGAACACTTTGCCCACTCTTTCCCCCGAAGCTTTCTGGAAGATGAGAGCAGAAGGGAAGGCTCTTTGAACCCAGGAAGGCTGAGGCATAGTTGGCCTTCACCATGACCCATCTTCCTGCCCTTACCCCACCTGACCTTATTTGATCACTCTCCTTTTACCCTTTGTGCATGCTGTTTTGGTGAGATTTGGAAGTTTGGGTAGGAAAGAGGGACTCAGGAAGCTCAGCATGTGGAGTCCTCTCCTTCTCCCCTCAAACCCCTCTGCATGTTTACTCTGGGACACAGAAGTCAGGTGGTTGCCGTTGAGACTGTGTGGCACCAGGGGAAACTGGGCTTAACTCCAAGGGAAGGCAGTCGGGAGAGAAGGCCCTACTTTTTCATTTCTCCTTCCTTCCCTCTCTCCCTCCCTCCCCCTTCGCCCTCCCGCCTGCCTACCTGCCCGCCTGCCTGCCTGCCTGCCTGCCTGCCTGCCTGCCTGCCTGCCTGCCTTCCCTGTGTCCCCCTTTCCTTATTCCTCTCTGTATTTCTGGTGGGGGTGGATGGGGTAGAGACTTGAGCATATTTCTGGCTGATGGGCAGGGAAGGAGGGGGAGATTCTCTTGTGAGGTGGTGGAACATGCTCTTTGCTTGGGCTGGAGGGGTGATCACTCTGAGCACAGGGAGAAACGTTGGCCTTGGATGGGGGTAGGGGGTGGGGGAGAAAAAAGTTGATGATTTAATTGAATTTAGTGGACATTTGCTAGGGGTCAGAACACAGAAGGTCTCAGGCAAACGGGGCAGACAGGAAGGATTGATTTAGCATCAGGTACATGAAGGAGGGCTCAGCCAGGTGCCATAAGCGTGTGGGGCAGAAATGCCCATGTCTACCTGGAAAGGTGGCCTGGAGAGATGGAGGATATTCTGGGCTGGAATATCCTTAGCCTGGCCGTGAGGGGTAAACGAGCCTGGCCTGATCAGGGATGGCCGAGCAGCGGGAGGGTGGGGTGTGGCAGGGGATATGGAAGAACGAAGCCAGGTGAATCAGGTGGGGTGGGATCAGCCGAGTCTTGATGGAGGAGTCTGGTCTCTGCTGATGAATACCTGCAAATCAAGCAGCCAGTAAGCATTCTTCAAAGTGCAGTTGACATGGGAGGAAATCTTTGGAAAATGCCACTTGGAAGATGTAATGTTAGGATGGGACTCACCTTTGCCTTCTCATATCTGAATTACCAGTTGCTCAGGTAGGAAACCTTCAGGGGGTTATGAAATATTACAGTAGACCCTTAAAAAATGAGTCCTAGATTGAGGTAGGGGACTGTGGTTCTGTTGTTTATAAGCCATGTGCTATTGACAAGTCATGTGACCTTCCTGTTGCATATTTTGTTCCCCAAATGACGTCAGCATTTATAGCCCATGTCCCCATAGGTAGCCTGGACTCCACTCTGTGTTGTCTGCTTGATGGCCTTCAGATCAGCATGGACTTTTCACCCTGACATGGCCCGTTTGAGGCTCCAACAAGTTGGTGAACATCGGGAGAAGATGCAGGTTAAAGTCTCCACTTTGGCATCTCTTAGCTGTGTGGCCCTGAGCTACTAAGCACAACTCTCTTTTCTTAGCTGTAGAATGGGCACAATGAAGCCTGTCTCACAGGCCAGGGTCTAGTGTAAGACTTGCCATCCAACTCCTTCCCCATAGCCCAGCACTGCACAGCAGGGTACTGCTGGCATGTGGGAGGGGTGAGGCGCCTCTTCTTCATGGTGCCAGACTCTCCTGCCCAGTGGTGGGACAGTTGGCATTCCAGGTGCCTGCCCACTGGTTGGGGAGTAGTGGCCCCCAGTCTTTGGGACGACCCCAAAACCCTCCTGCATGTGTTCATTGCCCCCAAGGGGGAAAATGCCACCCCCAATTTAGCTGATTCAATTCAGGATACATTTACTGAGTGCCAACAACGTGCAAGGAAGTCTGCTGGAATCACCCTTGAAGGGGGCTGTGTGTAATGGTTGGAAGGAGCAGAGGCCTGGGAGCCAGGAGAACAGATTTTCTGTCCCTAATCTATACAGATCATTTCATCTTTTTCTGGCATTGAGTTATATCTGTACTGGATACCTATGTTTAAGGCTATGGCTGTTTTTCCAAATTGCTTATAGTTGAGGATAGAGTGTATTGGAGTGGGAGAGAGGAAATACTATGGGAGTTCAGAGGAGGCAAATATTATATTGAATTTGGAGCCTTCCAAGCAGGGAGGGCTGCTTGGAAGAAGTGGCATTTGATCTGGTTCTCAAAAGCTGTATAAGAGTTGGGCTTGGAAAGGGGTAACAACTGTTAATCAAAGGTTGACTGTGTGCCAGGCACTGTACTCAGCTCTGTATAAACATCTTTCATCTGGGCATAGTAGTTCATGCCTGTAATCCCAGCACTTTGGGAGGCTGAGGCAGGCAGATCACCTGAGGTGAGGAATTCGAGACCATCCTGGCCAACATGGTGAAAGCACGTCTTTACTAAAAATACAAAAATTAGCCGGGTGCGGTGGTGGGTGCCTGTAGTCCCAACTACTTGGGAGGCTGAGGCAGGAGAATCACTTGAATCCAGCGGTGGAGGTTGCAGTGAGCTGAGATCCCGCCACTGCACTCCAGCCTAGGCAATAGAATGAGACTCCATCTCAATTAAAAAAAAAAATCATCTCTCATGGGCATCACAAAGCTCTGTGAGGTATGTAATAATTGCTTTTATTATATAGGTGAGGAAACTGAGTAACTTTCCCAGGGCCACAGCGAGTTACTCACTGTAGCAGTTAGCTATTGCTACATAACAAACCACCCAGAAACTCAGTGGCTTAAAACAATAGCCATTTGTTATTGTTCATGAGTCTATGGGTTGGCTGGGGGCTGGCTGGTCTGGGATGGTCTTGGATGGAACAGCTAGACTCTTCCACACAGACTCCGGCCTTCAGTGGTGTAGCCCAGGCTTGCTCCTATGGAGGAGGCTGGGGTTTGAGAGAGGAAGTGTGCAAGGCCTTTTGCAGCCCAGCCTCAGAATGCCACACCATTATTTCTACCACATTCTGTTGGCCAAAGCAAGTTCCATGGCCAGCCCAGATTCGAGTGGGGCAGGGATTGGGGGGAGTAGACTCTACCTCTTGATGGGAGAGGCTGCAAAGTCACATTGGAAAGGCCACCAATACAAGGAGCTATGGAGGCCTGGGCCATTTTTGCTCTTTGTCTAGTACAATCGCAAAATAGGATTGGATCTCTGGTCCATCTGGCTCCAAGCTGTGTTCTTTCCTCAAGGGTTTTCTTCTTCCAGGGAGGAGAAAAAAAATTAGGACAGAGGGAAGAGCATGAGCGAAGGAAAGGAAGCAAAAACTTCAGGACATATCTGGGCAATACTAAATGGCCCATTTTGAGTGATGTGTGGGGTGTGTAGAGGGGAATAGTGGAGAATAAGGCAGGAGAGGTGGTTCGGTCAGTCCTTAGAGGGCTGGAATGCTATAGCTAAGCTGCTTGGACTTTATTCTGTATTTGAGAAGCCACAGAATTTTTTTAAAGTTGAATTTATTTATTTATTTATTTTTCGAGACAGTTTTATTTTGCTCTGTTGCTCAGGCTGGAGTGCAATGGCGCGATCTCGGCTCACTCTAACCTCTGCCTCCTGGGTTCAAGCGATTCTCTTGTCTCAGCCTCCTGAGTAGCTGGGATTACAGGCACCTGCCACCACGCCCGACTAATTTTTGTATTTGTAGTAGAGACAGGGTTTCGCCATGTTGGCCAGGCTGGTCTCAAACTCTTGACCTCAGGTGATCCACCTGCCTTGGCCTCCCAAAGTGCTAGGATTATAGGCATGAGCCACCATGCCCAGCCTAAAGTTGAACTTATTATAGCATAACTCACATGCAGTAAAATTCATTCTCTTTAGGTATACAATTCTATGAGGTTTTGTTGTTGTTTTTTGAGATAGTGTCAACACTCTGTCACCCAAGCTAGAGCACAGTGGCATGAACATGGCTTATGGCAGCCTTGACCTTCTGGGCTCGAGCAATCCTCCCACCTCAGGCTCCCAAGTACTGGGACTACAGGTGTGCACTACTACACCCAGCTAATTTTTAAATTTCTTGTAGAGACATGCTTTTGCTATTCTGCCCAGGCTGATCTTGAGCACCTGGGCTCAAGCAATCCACCCACCTCAGCCTCCCAGAGTGCTGGGACTACAGGCATGAGCCACCACGCCCAGCCCAATTCTATGAGTTTTGACAAATGCATGTAGTTGTCATACATATAACCTCAGGCAAGATATAGAATATTCCCATCCCCCTTGTGCTATCTGTAGTCAGTCTACTCCTCCCACTGCCAACCCTGGCAATTCTACCATCCCTGGAGTTTTGCCTTTTCCAGAATGTCATATAAGTGGAATCATCTGTATGTAGAATTTTGTATCTTTTTCTTTCATGTTACACGGTGGTCTTGAGATTCAGCCATGCTGTTGTTGTGTGTATCACAGTTTGTTCCTTTTCAATGCTGAGTTGGATTGCGTTGTATGGTTGTGACACAGTTTGTTTATCCATTCCTAAGTTGAGGGACATTTGGATTGTTTACAGTTTGGGGAATTTTTAATAAAGCTGCTATAAACAGTTAAATACAGGTCTTCATGTAGACGTATGTTTTTATTTCTCTCTGGTAAATATCTAGGAGTAGGATTTCTAGGTCATTTGGTGGGTGTGTGTATAACTTTGTAAGAAGCTGCTGAACTATCTTGAAATGGCTGGTCCATTTTGCACTCCCACCAGCAACGTATGAGGGGTCTAAAGGTTTGGCATCCTTGTCAGCACTTGGTATTGTCAGGGTTTTTCTTTTCTAATTTAAGCCATTCTAATAGTATATTTCATTATGGTTTGAATTTGCATTTCTCCAGTGACAAGATGTTGAGGATCTTTTCATAGGCATCCTCTGATGTCTTCTTTTGGTGAAGTGTTTTCAAATCTTTTGCACATTTTAAACAAATGGGCTGCTTAGTTCCTTAGATATTCTAAGCATAAGTCCTTTATCAGATACGTGTTTTGCAAATATTTTTTCCCAGATATCCAGAAGGATTTTAATGGGAAGTAATTCTTGTGTTTAATAAACATACTTAGGGCATTATGGACTGTTGCGGGGATAGAGACAGGGAGGCTGCCTCAATAGTAGAAATGAGAAATGAGGCATGGGGCTGGGCCAGGGGCCGTGGGCATGGTGAGGAATGGAGAGACAGGAGGTGTGGAGACCCACTGGATGGTGGGAAAGACCTCTCTTACCCTAGTGAGTCCTCCCTCCTTTGACAAATATTTGTTAAGCATGGGTAATGATCTAGGCATAGGGGAAATACCAATGAAGAAGTGCAAGTCCTGCGTTCATGGAGTTCACATCTTGTTGGGGAGGACAGACAACAAACAGATACATAAAGTGTGTAACGTAAGGGCTGGCAGATGCTGTTTGACACACACAGCAAGGGGTTCTTATGGAAGTGCCATCTTCCAAAGGGCTCACGGGATGGGAGGTTGAGTCCTCAGGGTTTCCACTCATGGGAAAGAATTGGAGCAGTGGAGGGAAAGTGGGACTGAGGTCAGGGCTTACATTCTGGCCCTGATGCTGGCCTTCAGGTGACCTCAGGTAAGTTCCCTCCTCTCTCTGGTCCTTGGTCTTCCTCTCAGGGTTGGGTTAGATAATTTTCCAGGGACTATGATTTTATACCTGAAGTTCTTACAAGCCAAGTTGGGTGCTTTAATGAGCTGAACTGAGTGTGAATTGCTGTAATCCCATCCTTAGAATCAGGCTGTTTTGTTGGAAAGGCCTAGAAGTCATCAATTTTGGCCTCTCACCAATGTAGGATCTCCTGTGAAGCAGAACCAACAGGTACCTGTTCATTCCCTATGGGTGTCCCTCCAGGGATGAGGAGCTCACTCCCTTCCAAGGGATCACTTCCTTTTTTAATTTTTTCTGTCTTTTTAAAGGGAAAGGATCACACCATTTACTAAGGGAAAGTGCCCTCCAACTGTGGATTACAATTCAGATCCTACTCCTTAAAGCCACATGCGAAGGACAGCCTGCAGTGACCAGAGAGCCCAAAGGCCTGAAGACAAATCTGGGGGTGACAGCATGGGCATGGGAGTGGGGTGTCTTAGAGAAAGGACACATGGGCTTGGGAGAGGGGAGAGATGTATGGGGATCACCTTTGCCAGAGCTGCATACCTGAAGGTCACAGTGTCTTCCGGGACAGCTGGGGACAGGTATCTTTTGTTGCAGGAGATCAATTATCCTGAGAACTCAACTCAGCCAGTGACATGAACATGGGGGCCAGAGAGCAGATGGACTGAAGGGATGGGACGTAGTTGACACTTGTGGGACCCTTTCTATTCTAAAGCCAGAGTGCTTGGCTCCTTGTTTATTAAAGTTCAGAAAGTGGTGGGAGAGTGTAGCATGTATTACACGGCAATTCTAGGACTCTGCAGGAACACCTCATTGCCATCCCAGGATGCTTCTGGAAGCTTAGCAGGGCCTCACTGATGAGGAAACTGCTGACCTCAGGCCATGTCCAGCCATGGGGAACATCGGTTTCACCCCTGAGTCAGCCCTTGTGGGCACCCTTCCCTCACTGTTTCATGTCAGTGAGAATGGGGGAGCAGGTTGTCCCTAGAGGAGACTGGGATACCACAGTTTCGTCCACAAAGCACACATAATGATAAAAAATACTTGAAACACTTTCTTCCATGCGCGAGTGTCTTACAAAAAGCAGTTATTCTCCTGTGTCAAAACAAATGTTTTTGAAGAAGTAAAGCCATCTTTATTCACCTTGCCAACGCATTGCACATGACCAGGTGCCCATGCCCACTAGGTGATCCTCAGAACCTGGTTGCCGCAGGACTGCCTATGTTTGACACCCACTCGTTGTCATGTTACTTGTGGTCCATGTTGCAAGGGGGTGCTGAAGGCATACTAAGAACCTGGACGTTAAGAGTGGGGAAAAACTGCTACCCTCCTGAGCAACCAGGGAGGTGCTAGAACCTGATGTTACTTTTTTAAGATTTATGTGCTGGAGTGTTCAACCCAGTCACCCGTAGGACCACTTCTAGAAACTGAACTGGAATTGGGTGGTTATGAAACATTTATTCATTTATTTTTGGGGGCTGAGGAGTTCTTTTTTTTCTTTTTCTCCAAACAAAAGCTTTTAGGGAAAGTCCAATATAACAAACATGTAGCCACTTTGAATCAAGCTGGGTGAGGCCGGGAGACCAGCCCTCGTGGCCAGCCCCTGTGCCCTCCTTCCCCAGGGATTGTTAGGAACCAGGCCTCGAGGCAGGAGGTGAGCAGTGGGTGAGCTCCGCCTCCTGTCAGATCAGCGGCGGCATTCGATTCTCACAGGAGCCGAACCCTATTGTGAACTGCACATGTGAGGGATCTAGGTTGCATGCTCCTTATGAGAATATAACTAATGCCTGATGATCTGAGGTGGAACAGTTTCATCCTGAAACCATCCTCCCCTGCCACCCCGCCCTACCCTGGTCTGTGGAAGAACGGTCTTCCATGAAACCGGTTCCTGGTGCCAAAAAGGCTGGGGACTGCTGTAATAAAGGACTTACATCCAGAATATATATGTGAGTTCATATATATCTCAATAAGAAACAACAAAATAAAAAATGTATAAAAGATGTAACAGACGCTTTACCAAGAAGATATATGGATGGCAAATAAGCACATGAAAATAAACTCAATGTCATTAGGCATTAAGGAAATGCAAATTAAAACCACAATGAGATACAACTACCCACCTATTAGGATGGCTAAAATTGAAAAGACTGACCATACCAAGTGTTGGTGAGAATGTGGAACTCTCATATACTGCTGGTGGAAGTGTAAAATGGTACAACTATCTTAGTTCATGTAGAAGATGTTAACATCAGGCCGGGTGTGGTAGCTCAGGCCCGTAATCCCAGCACTTTGGGAGGCCAAAGCGGGCAGATCACCTGAGGTCAGGAGTTCGAGGTCAGCCTGGCCAACATGGTGAAACCCTGTCTCTACTAAAAATACAAAAAAATTAGCTGGGCGTGGTGATGGGCACCTATAGTCCCAGCTACCCGGGAGGCTGAGGCAGGAGAATCGCTTAGAACCCGGGAGGCAGAGGTTGCAGTGAGCTGAGATCGTGCCATTGCACTCCAGCCTGGGTGACACAGCGAGACTCCGTCTCAAAAAAAAAAAGATGTTAACATCAGGGGAAGGCAAGTGAGGGGGATTGCTCTACTACCATTGTGATGTTTCTGTAGAATTAATTACAAATAAAAATAAAGTAATAAAACGAGTTAAAATGTATGCAATAAAACTTTTTAAAGAGACTGTTTACCTTACAAAATAAGTATATTTGTTCAAATATCTCTATCAGCTATCATATTATAGACAGTCACTGTCACTGTAGAGAAGGTCAGCAAGGCCAGGTGCAGTGGCTCATGCCTATAATCCCAGCACTTTGGGAGGCCAAGGTGGGCAGATTACCTGAGGTCAGGAGTTCGAGACCAGCCTGGCCAACATGGTGAAACCCCGTCTCTACTAAAAATACGAAAAAAAAATTAGCCAGGCGTGGTAGAAGGCACTTGTAATCCCAGCTACTCGGGAGGCTGAGGTAGGAGAATTGCTTAAACCTGGGAAGTAGAGGTTGCAGTGAGCAGAGATCAAGCCACTGCACTCCAGCCTGGGCGACAGAGCAAGACTCTGTCTCAAAAAAACAAAAAAAAAAAAAAAAAAAAAAAAAAGAGAGAGAAGGTCAGCAAATTTGTGATGCTTGCCTTTTTATAAGAGAAACCTGTGTAACAACTTCATTTATTTATTTATTGAGGCAGGGTCTTGCTGTGTCCAGCCCAGGCTGGAGTGCAGTGGTGTCATCATGGCTAACTACAGCCTCGACCTCCTGGGCTCAAGTGATGCTCACACCTCTCAGCCTGTCAAGTAGCTGGGACTATAGGCTGCACCACCACGCCTGGATAATGTTTTTGTTTTTTCAGAGATAGGGTCTTGCTATGTTGCCCAGCTTGGTCTGGAACTCCTGGGCTCAAGCTGTCTTCCCACCTTGGCCTCCTAAATTGCTGGGATTATAGGCATAAATCACCGAGCCTGGCCACAAGTTTTTTTTTTTGTTTTTTTTTTTTTTTTTTTTTTTGAGACAAAGTCTTGCTCTGTCGCCCAGGCTGGAGTGTAGTGGTGGGATCTCAGTTTACTGCAACCTCTGCCTCCTGGGTTCTAGCGATTCTCATGCCTCAGCCCCACAAGTAGCTGGGACTACAGGCATGAGCCACCACGACCGGCTATGTTTGTATTTTTAGTAGAGATGGGGTTTTGGCTGGTCTCAAACTCCTGGCCTCAAGTGATCTACCAGCCTCAGCCTCCCAAAGTGCTGGGATTACAGGTGTGAGCCACCGTGTCTGGCCCCTGGCCACAACTTTAAATTAGGCAATTCTTTTAAATATTTTGCCATGAGATAAGAATGAGTTCATGTGTGTTACAAAAATAATGTGTGCTGGGGAGGGACATTCATCTATAATGGAGCAAAAGGCTCTCTGGCTGCCAGGGCCGGCTTTGCTGCCTATGGAGGGCTAGAAGTGCCAGGAACTCCACATCCCTCTGGAGCTACCCTCACTGAGGGAAGTTGGTGTATAAATACCAGCTCCCTCAGCCCTTGTGGGATGTACCTTTGAAACGCATGTTTTACACTGGTTTCCAGTTTTCCCAGTGCAGTTACACTGTAGTGGCCCCCAGTGGTAACCTGCTTGAGAATGAACCCATTATTGGCTGTCATCCCTTCTCCACTCCCCTGCTGGTGTTTTCTTCACCTCCCAAATAAACTGCTTGCATTCAAATCTTTGTCTTAGGGTTGGCTTCTAGGGAAACCCAAACCAAGACAAACACTAACATTTTCTCAGGCATCCCGATGGATCATCCTGTTACACCCTGGGCTTGGGAACCTCATTTGGTGACCACTGCTCTGCTCTGCGACAATAACTCCATCTGTCTGTCCAGGCTCTTCTTGCACACCCTCAAGACAGCCCTTCCCAGTGCAGGGCAGCTATGATTGTAAAAGGGTCCTTTGGATGTTGAGCTAAAATCTGGCTTGTTGTGACCCTTGCCCTCCTGCCAGGGCAGGGCCATAAGAGGACATGGAGTTCTGCAGGTTGTTAACTGGACTCTGCTGCGGCCTCCAGCAATCCCTGGAGAAGGAGGGCACAGGCCCTGACCATGAGGGCTGGACTCCTGGCCGCACCCAGCTTGACTCAAAGTAACTCCACGTTTGTTATATACTGGACTTTCCCTAAACGCTTTTGTTTGGGGGAAAAAGCTCCACAGCCAAAAATGAAATGAATAAATAAATATTTAATAACCACCAAATTCTAGTTCCATCTCTTGAAGTGGTCCTGCAGGTGACTGGGTTTAACCCTCCAGCACATACATCTTAAAAAAGCAACAGCAGGTTCTAGCACCTCCCTGGTTGCTCAGGAGGGTAGTGATCTCTCCCACTCCAGTGTGAGATGCTGCCAGGTTGTGGGAAGCCCTGAGCAGGCCAAAATAGCCTTTTACAAGCCATGCCACCAGACTTAACATCCAGGTTCTTACTATGCCTTCAGCACCACCTTGCAACATGGACCACAGGTAACGTAACAATGAGTGGGCATCACACATAGGCAGTCCTGCTGCAACCAGGTTCTGAAGATCAGCTAGTGGGCATGGGCAGCTGGTCATCTGCAATGCCTTGGCAAGGTGAAGCATGGCTGGCATAGCTGCTCACTTTACAGGGAGAAACTGAGGCCCACAGGAGGAACAAGTTTACATAGGTTGCACGGCGTGGTTGCTTTAGTAAACATTAATAGAATGGGACTTCATCTGCTGTGTTAGGTTCTTATCAATACCTAAGGGTGACGGTTCTGACCATCATGAACGTTGTACCGTGCGGTCTTTGGCTTTTTACCTTGAGTTCACAACATCCCTGGGCACACCAGCCAGGCCAGCTCTGGGAAGCTCCCTTTGTTAAAAGCTCAGGTCCTCCCATCCTCATTGCTGTGGGCTGCTTGATGCCTGTCCTGGGCCTGAGCAAGCCCAGGTCCCACTCCGGCCCTGCCATAGTCCTTTGGCCCTGAAGGCAGTTTCACCTTCGCCAACTTGACCCTTGGAGCTCCTCCTTCTCAGGAGCAGTTTACACCTGTTCCCAGGTTCAGTTGATCCACTCCCTCTTCCTGGACCTGCGGCGGCATTAGCCAGGGAATGGGGGTTCACCAATAATGAGAATGATTAACAAGGGAGTGGGGATGATCATAGAGATGCCTGAGGTTCAGAAGCCTAAGAGGCGAATGTACTGAGGCCAGAGCCAGGGTGCAGGAGCCACCTTTCCTGCTAAGCTTGGATTTGGAGGGCTTATTAAGAGAGGTCTCTGTTAAGTGGTATGCTGGTAAATGTTTGTCTCTCAAAACAAAACAAAGCCCTCCTGTGATAGTTAATTCTGTGTCAATTTCACAGCGCTACGGGGTGCCCAGACATGTGACCAAATATTACTTTGGGTGTGTCTGGGAGGGTGTTTCTGGATGAGATTAACATTGAATCAGACTGAGCAAAGCAGGTTGCCCTTCCTAAAGCAGGTGGGTCTCATTCAATCAACTGAAGACACGAACAGAACAAAAGGACTGAATGAGAGGAAACTCCTCCTGCCTGAGTGCTTAAGCTGGGACATCAGGGTTTTCCTGCCTTCAGACTTGAACTGAAAAATGGGCTCTTCTTGGGTCTTGAGCCTACCAGCTTTTGGACTGGAACTTACACCATTGGCTCTCCTGGTTCTCAGCCCTTTGGACTCAAACTGGAACTATATCATTGGCTTTCCTGGGTATCTAGTTTGCCTACTGTAGCTCTTGGGACTTCTTAGCCTCCATAATCACATGAACCAATACTTTGTAAGTCTCTGTTTCTCTGTCTCTGCATGTGTCTTGCCTTTCTATACAGTCATGTGATGCATAACATTTTGGTCAATGACAGACTGCATATACAATGGTGGACCCATAAGATTATAATGCCCTATTTTTACTGTACCTTTTCTATGTTTAGATATACAAGTACTTAGCATTGGGTTATAATTGCTTATAGTATTCAGTACTGTACCATGTTGTACAGGTCTGTAGCCTAGGAGTAATAAGCTATCCCATATAGCTAAGTGTGTAGTAGGCTGTACCATTTAGGTTCGTGTAACTACACTGTGTGATATTCACACAATAATGAAATCACCTAATGATGCATTTCTCAGAACTTATCCTCGTTAAGGGATGTGTGCCTGTGTGTGTGTGTGTGTGTGTATCTCCTACTGATTGTTTCTCTGGAGAACACTGATTAATACAACAGAACAAGCCCTGATTCGTAGTGCTGCTAATTTCTGTGGTGTAAATGCTCCCCCTGTGGGTGATTTCAGGCTGCCAATGTCACTGAACATGGAAGTGGAAGGAGGTGTGCATGATGGTCCTTGTAAGCTGGTACAAGCCATATTCCAGCACACCACTGACCCCCTCCCACAAACACCTTTCTCACCCCTCCCCCAGAGGGATCAGACCTCAGGTCTGCCAGTGGGGTAACTAGAAGTTCCAAGGATACGCATGTGAATTCTCTTCTACTTTCAGCTTCCATTAGGTCAGGTAGTGAACAGATTGTTGACACCCTCCTGTAAGGAGGTTGGTAAACCAAGCCAAGGCCCCTACGTGGCCCTCTTGCTTCTTCTCATAGGTCTTGATGCCAGGTTCATGGCTTGAGGTTTGTAAGGCAGCTGCTGCTAAGATTCAGATTTGGAACTGGGAGGAGCAACATACAGATTGTCCAGTCTAGCGCCTAAGCTCAGCAAACCCAGTCCAGTCTAGCGCCTAAGCTCAGCAAACCAAGGAGCTCTGGGTTGGGCTCTCAGGCACCAGCCCAGGTAATGCCTTATATTTATTTATTGAGACAGGGTCTTGCTCTGTGTCACCCCGGCTGGAGTGCAGTAGCACGATCATAGCTCACTTCAGTCTCAAGTTTCTGGGCTGAAGCAATCCTCCTGCCTCAGCCTCCAGAGTAGCTGGGCCTACAGATACTTGCCACCATACTTAGCTAATTTTTAGATGGGGTCTCACTATGTTTCTCAGGCTTGGTCTTGCACTTCTGGCCACAAGCGCTTCTCCTGCAGTGACTCAGGAATCCAGGTTCCTTCTGACATAAGACTCTCCAACCACCTATGGCCTGGTTGTCATCTGCACTGAGTGAAGGGGAGAGCCAGGAGACCTCATATAGGTTTTTATGACTTCTGTTTACATTCCACTGGAAAGCTCTTAACACAAGGACACAACTGACTGTAAGGAAGGCTGGGAAAGGTAGTCTAGCTATGTGTCCAAAGAATGGAGGAATGCATTTTAATGGACAGCTAGTGGGTCCACTAGTTTGTAGATGAGGACAACAGTCTCAACAGGATTAACTTGCTAAAATTAATTGGTCACAACCAAGTGACAAAGCCAGGCCTCCACCCTAACCAGAGCCACCATCGTCTCACCTGGACTGCAGTGGTGGCCTTCTCACTGGTCTGCTTGCCACCCTGCACACAGAGGGATCCTTTCAACACTTACTCCAATCACACTCTGACAGTGATAGAAATAAACCTGTCAGTTCCTGCATGTTCTTCTAGCCCTCGGCCATGGGCTCATGGGTTCAGTGAGAGCAACTGAGTTGGGGAATGGCACAGCCTGCACCCGAGCCCAGATCTGACTCCACATTTTGGTCCCCCAAGCAAGAAACGACAAACGCCAGCTTCCAGGCCACTTTTATTTAAACAGAAGCAGCGGCCCCACAGCCATGGGGACATGTCTTCCAGACAGTAGACACAGTGCCTGTGGCTGTAAGAGCCTGACAGGGAAGATTCATGCCTTTCTCCTTGGCCCCCATGACCAAAGAAGAAAATAAAAATCACACACCATACACTGCCACACCCATCTCCACCCCTCCCTTTCAGTAATATCCAAGTATTCATCCTTCTGGCCAAAGAAACTGGCTACAATTCTGATTCTAAAGAAAACCTTCATGCAGCCAAGAAACTCAGGGCTCTGGAGGGGAGAGCCTTACTCTGATACTTTCCACATGCACTGCCCACTGGCATCAAGTTTAACTCCATCCAAAACCATCACATGGATGGCCAGGGACAGGACTGGCTACAAAAAAAAGCCATGAACTCAGCTCACCATGCTAAGAAGACTGCCTCTTTCCAGGCAAGATTTTACTGGAGCAACATAACCGGAGGGTGTGATTCCAAAATACCTTCCTTTCCAAGCCCCGGGTTGTGGATAAGGTCTGGATTTTGGTTATATGACTAAGGGCGACAGAGGCTGCTGGCATCTCTGGCCACCGTCCCAGTGGCTTAGGGTTGGAGGCTTCACTGGCAAAACAATGGCACTGTTTAACTAGCTCGTGTTAACCATTCATCTACAGCAAGTAGAATCATCAGTTTTGCACTGAGCAAGGAAGCACATGGGTCTCCTATGAGAGCTAATGCCAGAATTCACATGCTTTGTAAAATATAGGATGAGGTTTATTTCTTTCTTCTGCCCCCTCCAGAGGCCAAATGGGTAGGGTGGTTCCTTTGCCTTCTGAGTGCCTGGATGCCCCCAGCCCTCACAAGACCCTGCTAAGACACTGGCAGTGTGCCAAGCCTTGGGTGGGATGGGTGAACACCCTTCAATGACTCTGAGAGGATTCTGGCACCTGGAATGACAAGACAGATGCTTCCCTGCAAGCCAGGTATGAGCCTTTCTGGAAATGAGATGGGAGCTGACCTTGGGGTTGAAGGAAGGATCTTGAATGACAGATAATCCCCAAGTGTCCACTGGATCATTTTTCCTCTGACTTTCCACACAAATGAGGCTTTCCGTGGGTTTTGCAACCACAGTGTCTAAGACAATCAGAAGGGTTCCAGGGAGGTCTTGTCTGTAGCGATGTGACAGATGAGGAAACTGCAGCTCAGAGGACAATGACTTGCCCACGTTGCACAGCTCGCTGACAGTAGAGAGGGGCTGAAACCTAGGTCTCCTGACTCACACGCCACAACCATGACTGGCTCAGCTCCCTTAATTCCAGCTTCCCTTACATGACGCAATTCCTTCTCAGATTCGGGTTTTCAGCTGAGGCTGGGCAGTTCTTAAGATAGAGTTGCATAAACAACCAAGCTTTGCGTTATAACAAGCCAGGGAAGGACCTAGGGAGGTTCCCTTCCCTCTGGAACGGAAATGGAACTTTCTCTGAGCTTAGGATTTGTAAGGCACTGAAATTAACTACAGCTGGGGTGGGGAGTGGTGGAAGAAAGAAAAAGAGGGATGAGTGGTTGGAGAAATCAAGTCGATGCTCTTTTCTTCCAGCCCCACGGTGAGAATCCTACAGAAACATGAGGGTGGACTCCACTTTCCCACCTGATGCTGTCCACTCCCCAGCCCCTGCTGCAGAGCAGCGCGGACCCACTCCCACCAAGACAAAGTGGGTTTTGGGAAAGATGAGGCCTGCAGGGTTGGTGAGCCAAGAAGAATGAGCCCAGGTCCCCTGGATCCAATTCAGAGCGGAGACCACTCTCTCCACCTAGGTGTCCCAGGCTGAGGCTGGGACAAGATTCAACCCTGGAATGCCTTCTCCAGGAACACAGGGCACTCCGAGTGGACTCAGTGGTGGCTGGGGTGGGCCTGCAGGCCCAGGCATGAAGGAGGAAGGGGCAGGACGGCACCAAGGATGGCAGGGAGAACTTTGGCCTCGGACCTGGCTTTGGCACAGCGCATCTGGGGCCTCCCCACTCCGTGGCTGCCCTCCTGAGATCCCAGGGTGGGGAAGAGCTGTCCTTCTCCTGTGAGGACCTCGTCTGGCTGATGGAGGCGATGGCAGGGCAACTCCAGCGTATCCCCTTCATCATTCCAGCCATGGCTGTGCACAGGTGACCTAATGTGGAGCCTTTTCAGGCTCCACTGCAGATGTGACGCTGAACGGGAAGCAACAAGAGCTACCACTTACCCAGCACCTTCAATGTGACCAGTGCTCAACTCAGATGACAACAACCTGCAAGTAGGTATTACTATCCCTTTCAACTAATGAAGAGACCCGGGCTCAGAGGGGTTAAGGGACTCACCCAGAGTCACACAGCTAATGAGTTCTAAACGGGGAACTGGACTCAGGCTTGTCTGACTCCAAATCCCACATTCTTTCCATTCCACTGGGCTGCCCCCTGGAAGCCAGGAGGAAGGTGGTGTTGGGCTGTCAGGGTGGGAGTTCTGGAGGGGTTTCTCTTTGAAAGTGTGGATCTAGGAAAGCAGCCAAGCTTGAGTGAAGGGAAGATGCCTGACCACTCACACGTGTCTGTCTCTCCAGGCGGGCTCCAGCTCAGTGCCTGGCGGCCTTGCAGATCTTGTCGTACACCTCGGGGAAGGCGTCCTGGCAACCCAGCTTCTCTCGCAGCTTGTGGTACAAGGAGCCATCAAACATCTCCCAGAACTCCTCCCGGTTCATGTAGCAGTCGGCATACAGCATCTGGAAGCTGCAGAGGCAGAGAAGTGGGTGAGGACGCCAGGAGGCACACGGAACGCGAGGCGTGAGAGAAACCCAACTGCTCATTCTGCAGCCCAGAAAAGGCTTTTGGAGGATTTCTCTTGTTTAACCCCGTTAACCTGGTGAAGAAGATGGTGCAGGTATTCTTATCCCCCTTTTGCAGGTAGGGAATTGGGGCTTGGGGGTTAGGTAGCTTAGCAGTGGAGGTAGAGTCAGGAGTAGAGCTCAGACTGCTGGGCTTCTGCCCCTCTGCTTGGCCAGAGGCACAGCTGCCTTCCCTAATGGAGCAGTGGGGTTGTTTTCCTTTAATCTGTTATTGACTTTCAATAAACTAGACATAATTTAAAGTACACAATTGGATAAGCTTGACACATGCATGCAACCAAGGACTCCAATCACTGCAGTCCAGATCGTGGCTATAACCATCAGCCCCAAACTTTCCCCATGCCCCTTAGTTATCCGTTGCCCTCTGCCATCCCCAGGCAACTACTGATGCGCTATCAGTATGGATTCATGTGTGTTTTTGGGAATTTTATATGAAAGGAATCATATGGCATTGTTTTTTCCTGGCTTTGTCCATGTTCCACTCAATAGTTTATCCAGGCTGTTTTCTGAGCAATCCTCTGTCCTGGGCCTCTCCGTGGTTTTCATAGACAGGAATCCCTCTCTCCTTAGCTTTGGCCTTTCCATCTGGAGCAGTTGCCCCTGGACCCAGCTAAGCCCACACCCATCATCTGTTCCGTGGGGAGGAGTGGGGTGACTCCCAGGTTTCTGGCTGGGGCTGCTGGGGGGGTGTGACATGTTCACTGGAGGAGGGGGTGCAGGGAGAAGAGGGCAAGTAGTCCTGCAAGCCCACCCCCTGCCCATCTTTCACAGCTTACCTCCTGACCCAGAGGCTGCCACAGCTGCAGGGGCCCTAAGGAACCAGTTGATAGGCTTGGGGCTCCTGGTTCTCCATAGAGCTGGCCTCATTCCCCTGGAGCAGTACCCTGGGGCTGTCAGCTAGAGGCAACATACTATACTCTGGGCCACTCACCCATGCACGCTGCGGACAAACTTCTCCAGCTGCCTCATGCAGGACCTGGCTTCAAAGTGTTTCACACGCGGCTCCCCATATGCTCCAATGTCGATGTAGAGCTCTGCCTCATTTCCTTTGGGGTGCACTAGGCCTGGCTGGCTGGGCAGGATGAACGGACACAGCCAGATGGGGTAGACCTGGGTAGACCAGGGAGGTGGGTATTGGTGCTTTTTCTCCAACAGGTGACAGGCTCATGGCTGGCCCGCTCATACCCACCCAAATGAAGGCTTTGCAGCATTCTCAAGACCCCCTCAGGTGCTCTCAGCTTCACTGCCCCGCCCCCCAGCCCTGGCTGAGAACACCCTGACTCCACCACCTTGGAGGACACAATCGGAGCAGGTCATGGGAGTGCTCGATGCCAGACCCTATGACTCCTCTCCCAGGGGGGCCATCACTGAGTGGGTTGAGGCCTCAGCAGACATAGGGACAAGGACCTCATCTTAAAGTTGGGAAAACACCCAGAGGGCAGTGTGCCCAAGGTCGGTCACACGGTTCAGGGGAGGAGACCATGGATTCCAAGGGAATGCACCTGGTGCGCCCTCCCTGCCCTGCCCCACTCACGTGGATGTCGTTTTGGAAGGTGTGCAGGGCCTGCTGCAGGCACTTCATGGGCACCAGCATGTCCTGCACCACGTGGTGCTGCTCGTACAGCTTGCGCAGGGTCTCACCCTGGGTCAGCTTCAGGAGGGAGATCTTGGGAGGCACCATCCAGCCAAAGAGGTAGCGGAAGATGGGGTTGTTGCCAAAGGGGATAATGTCCTGGAAAACAAAGATTAGGGTTGGAGAGAAAAAAACCAACAAGGGTTGAATGTCTCCAAGTGCAAGGGGCCAGGGGCCAGGTCCCATTCTGTGCTTGACAGAAGCACGCCTGAGTCCAATTCCCCTCTTTGGAGGGGGTGTGATGGGACCTAGGACTTTACCAGTCCAATCTAGGTTTGCTTCTCAGCTCTGGCATTCGCCAGTAGTGATGACCCCGGGCTAGTTACTTAACTTCTTTGAGCTCAGTTTCCTTATCTGTAAAATGGGCCTTGTGAGGATAATGAGATATTAATACCAAGTGGAAGGCACTCAACCCCATGCCTGGAGTGCAATAATGAGCTAGCTATCATTCCTGATCTAGCTGTTGAGATCTGGCTGGAATAGAGCTGGCATTCCATAAATGTTTGAGAAACGAATGCTGTTGAATGAGCATAGTGATTCTTAGAGAATTTAAGCAGTCTCCCTAGGGGCACACAGCCAGAGACAGCGCTCATGGGGTGGGTGCAGTCTGGCTCAGGTTCGACAAGGAGCCCACTGGTTTGCAGCATCCCTTGCTCACAGCCTGACCACCCGCCTGGCTCCCCCAATTCGGTCTCCCTGGAAACCCTCCTGCGCAGAAGCTGTTCTCTTCCACGCCTCAGACTGCCACGAGGCGGGAGCTTCCTCACTCAGCACTGCTGCCTCCTGACGATGGCCCCCTCTTCCCTCCAGCTCTGCCCACCTCCAACAGAGAAGACTTTGGCCCCTGGGTCACAATCCTCCTCCCTGCTTGAGTCCTACCATGTTCCTGAGGGTCCCCAGTGTCCACTGATGCCCGATTCTCACAGCTCTGGGAGCCCTTGAAGCCAAGGCTGCTCCTCCATTCATTAAACAGTTCTGGCCAGGCACGGTGGCTCATGCCTGTAATCCCAGCACTTTGGGAGGCCGAGGCAGATGGATCATGAGGTCAGGAGATCGAGACTATCCTGGCTAACACGGTGAAACCCCGTTTCTACTAAAAATACAAAAAATTAGCCGGGCATGGTGGCGGGCGCCTGTAGTCCCAGCTACTCAGGAGGCTGAGGCAGGAGAATGGCGTGAACCCAGGAGGCGGAGCTTGCAGTGAGCCGAGATTGTGCCACTGCACTCCAGTGTGGGCGACAGAGTGAGACTCCGTCTCCAAAAAAAAAAAAAAAACAGTTCCAAGGGGCCTCCGAGGTCAGGAACCAGGTTCTATGCTGGGTGCTGGGGAACCAAGATAACTGAGACATGGTCTCTGTCCTTAAGACACCCACAACCGCAGGTGTGGAAGACACAGGCCACTGGATGAGTGTGGGAAGAGTGGGGACAAACAGAGGCTGGGGCAGCTCATGAAAGGGTCCACATCAGACTAGGGGGCACGGTGACTCCCCAAAGCAGCCATGTGTGTAAGCACTGAAGGCTGAGTGACCCTTTCCCTCACTCCTCTGGAGCTGCCGGACCACTCCCATGAAGTCAGGGACCTGCCTGTTTTCTTCTGTTAGATCCTGCGCCTTTGCCAATGTCTGGCATGCAACAGGATCTCAATAAATAGCCTGGCTTTTATTGTTTCCTTGGTTACCTTTGGAAGACCTACACATGCCCACAGCAGAAATCCCCATAGTACAAAAGTTAAGCCTCCCTGCGCATTCCTGACCCTGTTTCCCTCCCAGCAATGACCTGACCTGGCTCCCCACCCACCCTCAACTCTCCTCCCCCTCCCTAATGGCAAGCATTGGTAAGAATGATTTGCCTACCCTTTGGGGGACATCTGATACGGAGAAGCAGAGGAGCTTTGAAAAAACAGAAAGCAAAAAAACCTCATAAATGGTGGCATCTTAGCACCACTGGCTCATCACTGTATCCTGTATCAATACAGAGGGCACTACTGCCTTCGGTTGTGGGTGTCTAATGTGTGCTGCAGGGGTCCACAAATTCGGCCCACCCTCTGGTTGTGTGTTCCTTTACAAATTGTCCATGGCTGCCTCCAGGCTACAAGGCAGAGGAGCAGTTACTAGAGAGGCCTTATGGTCCGAAAAACCTAGACTGTATACTATCTGGCCCATTGTATAAAATGCTTATTGGATCGGGTGCGGTGGCTCATGCCTGTAATCCCAGCGCTTTGGGAGGCTGAGCGGGCAGATCACTTGAGGTCAGTAGTTCAAGACTAGCCTGGCCAACATGGCAAAACCCTGTCTCTACTAAAAACACCAAAAAAAATTAGCCGGGCGTGGTGGCGGGTGCGTGTAATCCCAGCTACTCAGGAGGCGGAGGCAAGGAGAATCGTTTGAAGCGGAGAGGCGGAGGTTGCAGTGAGCCAAGATTGCACCATTGCACTCCAGCCTGGATGACTCAGGGAGACTCCGTCTCAAAAAAAAAAACAAAGGTTATTGACCCCTGCTCGATTACAGCAGATGTGTCATAATTTATTTAATCACTTCTATACTGGCAGACATTTAGATTATTTCCAGATTATTCCAACTAATATACTTCGTATATGTTATCTTTGCCCATTTATATATGTGTCAGAAAGATAAATTCCTAGAAGTGGAAGATTTTGGCTTAAACAGTGTGTGCAATTTTCATGGATACCATTTCAGAGCTTGTACCATTTTATACTCTCCCAGACAATGT